>NC_000012.12:109581340-109732855 GCF_000001405.40 Homo sapiens | reverse complement strand
TCAGGGACGGAGGTAGGGATGATGGGCCTGGCCTGAGGCCCTTGTTCATCTACCTCATCCCAAATTCTACTCTAAGTGATGAGATGTAGCAGTGGAATGTATGTGTGTGTGTGTACACGTGTGTGGGGAACATGTCCTGCGTACACTCTCACACACACCTCCCCCCACCCACCTCCCCTCCTTCTGAAAAGTGGGCCCAGAGGATGGGCGTCCTTTCAAAATCAGCCCAGCGCAGAAAAACGGCTGTGACAGCACAAAGCCGAGATTGAATCAGCGACGGGCCCGATTGCCTGGTGACGGTTACAAATGATCTGATGTGGAAAAGACGGGATCAGATGTGTGCAGAACAACGGCTGCTCCGCGCCCCCACATGCCAGACAATGGGCTGCTGGGCAGGCGGCCGGGCAGGTGGCGTCCAGGAGCCCAGGACAGGCTTAGCACAGAGTGGCCCTTCCTGGGGCCAGACACTCCCCAAATGCACAGCACCTGGGCAGAATGTTCCCACATGAGACCAAGTGCTAGTTCTGGGCAGTTAGATGTCAGCTGAATTTTATTTTCTTTGTCAGACTCATTTCCAAATACTAAAAGATGAACATGACTTTTGTAATGAGGGGGAAAGAACCTCCTCCCACCCGGCACTCAGTCTCTGCACTCAGAGCCTCAGAAGCATGGGTGTGAGGGGGTTGTACACAGCTTCACAATGACCACTGAAAGCGGCCCTTGCCCTATCCCCAGGGTTTAGTTGGGGGGCTCTAGACCTGCACTCTCAACCACCGAGTAACAAACGTCCTCTTACTGTGATGTGACTACAGCCCTGCGTGAGAAGGTTGTGTCCACAGATGGTGTGGCTTGCCCAGGGTGCACAGCAGTGAGAAGGCTGGGCCTCAGGCCTCACAAACCCTTCGCTGGTCTCTTTCTACTCCAAGGCCAGACATACAGTAGATGCTCAATAAATCCCACCTGAACAGAGAGCTGGGCTGGGACCTTTATTTCCCACACTCCCTGCATGGTCCAGGGTTCACAGTTCGGGGTCTCTCCCCGCTCTTTTCACTGTAGTTTGCCACCTCAACCCGACAAACCCCTCCACACACCCAGAACACACGGGCCCCAGAGACCCTCAACATGGGTGGGCAGAGGGGCAGGGCTAGAGCCTCCTCCGGACCCAGCTTACCAACTAGGCAACACAAGCCCCACCCCCAGCCTGTGTCATTGAGGCTCCAGGGCTGGGAAGCTTCTGGATAAGGGAGAGGGCCTCTCCTGCAGGAGGTCTGGGCAGGGGGTGGCTTCATCGAGCAGCAACTGTGTGCCGGGTGCCATGCCTCAGCTCACGTGGAGCTGGAAGCCCTTCTCTTGAGTGTGAATACATCCACGCCTCCCATTCTCCAGCAGGGGCAGAGGCTCCGAGAGGAAGAGGATTTGCTCCTGGTGGGATCTGGATGCGAACTAGGTCTGCTGGACTCTAAAGCCCATGGCATGGCTGTGCTGTGGGAGGGCCGGATTCTGAGTGGGCACCCAATGTCCCACAGGACCAGCCGCTCCTGGGGTAGGCGCTGGGTCACCTCCCCAGCATGCCAAAGGGGTGATCCTGCAGCCAGTTGAGTTACCCCTCCCGCCACCACCATAGCATCCTAGTAGCCCTCATTCTCCAGACCCGCAAGGCACTACCCCTCTGGCTCCTGACGGACAGTGTCTAGGAAGGACGAAACAGCACCTCAGCTAAGGCAAAAACCCAGAACTCAGTTTGAACCCTGGCTCTGCTATTCACTAGCAGGGCTGTCTTGAGTAAGCCACCGAGTCCCTTGGGGACTCAGTTTCTCCATATGAAACATGGAAGTAGAAACCACACCTTCCTCACCAGCCGGTTGTGAGGATGAAGCCGGTGATGAACACATGCAGTGTAGCACTCGTGAACTGCCCGCCCAGCTCTCACCCCAGGAGATGACAGTGATGGGCTCAGGGGTGAAGCAATTTGCCTGCAGTCACACAGCAGCGGGGGAGGAGGGCAGGGATCCTTGAACCCCAGGACCTAAACCTCAATTCCTTCCAGCAGTTTATCCTTTAATGCCAGGGACAAGGCCCCAAGTGTGCCTTGAGAGTGAGAGGGGATGCTCCAACGAGTGCAGTCACCAACCCTGCCTGAGCACCTGTGGTGTGCCAGGCTGCAGGAACCCAGAGAAAAACCAAACACGGCAAAGATGACCAGACACACGCCCACGCAACCCCAATCCCAGGTCAGACAGAGCTTCAGGGGGCCCAGAGAAGAGGGGTCCTTCCGAGGACAGGCTGCTTCCCAGAAAAAGGAGTATCTGAGCTTCTTGTCTGAGTGTCCCAAGGGCAAGGGCAGCACCTGGCACGGAGCGCAAAGGCACCAACAGGGGCTCAGTGAGTCTGATGAGGTGGGCCTTGTGGCACTAAATGAATGGTGTGGGCTGGAGGAACCCCCCCCCCCGCCCCCCAGGCAGGTGCCAGAAGTAGTACCTTGTAGGCAGCCACTCGCCTGCAGAATCTTCCTCACCTCCTTGGTTATTCCATTTTAGCAGGGGGGGAAACTGAGGCACAGAGAAGCAAAGCCACATGCCCAAAGCCATCTGGTAAGAAACTGGTGGAGCAGGGATTTGAACCCACATTCACCTGGCTCCGTAATAATCATCACACCAACAGCCCCTCGGCCTGTAGGGTAAGGAGGAGAGCCAGCCTGTAGGGTAAGGGTGGGCCGTTTGGGTGGCGTGGGCAAGGGAAGAGTGGACGCAGGCCACAGGGGTTAGGAGGGACCTCGAAGGCAGACTGAGGCCTTGGCACACCACCCACAGGCAAGAAGGAGCCACAGAGAAGGCGCGGTGGTCATGGCAGGGACTTTGGAAGTGGCCTGTCTGGGTTCAAGCCCCAGCTGGCTCCCCTACGTGCTAGCTGTGCAGCCTCAGGCAGGTCAGCTAGCTGCCCCATCTGTAGAAAGGGGCTCATAATATATCTGCCTCACAGATTGGTGCAGTGGCATTTTGGCACACAATGAATTGTATGTGTTTATTAAATCGAAAAGAAGAAAAACTGAAAGCTGGTGGAGGGAGTCAGTGCCCAGTCAGGTTTGGGGACAAGCTGGCTGCTGGGCCTGTTCCCGTATTTTGGTCCAGGTGGGTGCCAGGCCCAGGGAGCGGGGGTGGCGGCGCCGTCTCCCAGCCTTGCTGGGGCATGCGCCAGCATGTGCATGCGTGCGCGCGTCTGTGTGTGTTGCTGCAGCGGCTTCTATGCAAACATGTTAATTTGTTTTCATTTTGTGTTTTTTTTCCCTTGCAGGATAATTGGGTGAGTTTGAAGTCTTGGCGAGGCTGCTGATTATAGCTATTTGGGTGGTGCCCTCGTGGGGCTCAGGCCCTGCCTCCTGCCTCTGGCGGTGAAGGCGCTGGCTGGGGGTGTCTTGAGGGGCTCAGGGAGATGCCACTGGGTTCCGGGGGCTCTTGCTGGCCGGGGATGGGGAAGGCAAGCCGTCCTGAGACCCCCCAGCATGCCCCTCACCCAGACAATACAGGGTCATTAAAGGGTGCAAATCAGCCCACACCTTTTTTTCTTTGCCCTGTTTGCTGCATTTAAAAACTTATGATGTGTTTGCCAATGTCCAAAAGAAAAACTAGAATTCTACCTAAAATTCTTATTGTCTGCTTTCTCTTGGGGGAAAAACCCAAACCTGGCAGTGCTGGAACCCCTGGGCTGATGTGTCCTGAGGGTGGCTGCAATGGCTTTGCTCCTCATGTTACCTGCATGGTCCCCGGGTACCTGAGTTTTCCACCCTGGAGAAGGAGTGGGACTTTGGAGTTGGAATGGCCAAGGTGTCCTGGGCAGCCATGTGACCTGTCAGTACCTGGCTGTCTGAGCCTCTTTTTTTTTTTTACCTGTAACCCCACTGCCTTGCCCTGGGAAGACTGAAAGGAGATGGCAGAGTTTTCAGGAGCATAGTAGGGGTTCGGTTAGTCTTAGAGATGGAACGGGAGCTCCCTGCTCTGTGGGCGTCCCGCACTTGATTCCATCCTTGGATGTGTAGCCCTGTCACTGACCTGTTTGTGTCTGTCTCTCCTGCTAGGTGGGAACCAGGTCTCTGAGGGCTGGACTGGATCTTTGGTTCCAACTTCACTGAACGCCTACCATGTGCCACACTGTGCACGAAGAGATGGGAGATTGGTGAAAAGGGCTTGGGTGGGGCTCTGGAGGTGAGCAGGTACCAGACTCTTAGCCCTGCAGATGGTGAGGGTACACCTGGCAGATGCCCCAGTCTGAGCAAAGGCACAGAGGAAGGTACGGCCTGGCAGGTGCAAGCCCATCCCAGGTGGCTGGAATATGCTGCAGGAGGCCAAGTGGCCTTTGAGGGCATCCTGCATGGCTCTGCTCTCCCACGGGGCTGGGTTCATAGAAAAGGGACTCCGTGTCTATAGTGGCCTTCTACAGACGAGGCAAAGTGGGGATTAGGAAGAGACTAAGGGCTGGGCCTCACCAGAAGCCACAATCCCCGTGTTATCTCTTTGGGACCCTGGGACCCTGGGACCCCTGACGAGTCACCTTAGCTCTCTGATCCTCACACTGCTTACATGTAAAGTGGGCTGTGGCAGGGACCCAGTGGGACAGTCCCTGGTGCATGATTATGCTCCTGGGAGAGACTTCAACACCCACGACCCACCCACTGCTGTAGCTCATATTCTTCCCCTCCCAGGAGGCAGCAGGAATGCTGGGAAACCCCAGCCTATGCTTGTGTGGCCCGAGTGTGCTTAGGTACCAAGCTCAGCACTTTACTCAGGTCCTGGCACTACATCTTCCCCCAGTGCCCCTGGGGCGGGTTCTCTTTCATTTCCATTTCTCAGTTAAGGAGATCGAGGCTCAGAGCGGGTTGAACAGGTATGGTGGCCCTCAACAGGGCCCTGGGCTTGTTTATGAATGCCCTGCAGCCACTAGCCCAGAGTCCCGCCACGATTGAGGGACAGAATGTCCCTCAGGGAACAGAGACACCTGAAGACTTCCTGCTGGTTTTCACCCAGGACTTTGGTGGTGGGGTACACCTGGAGGCCCAGTCCCCAGCACCTATCTCTGCTCTTCCCCTAGCCTACCCTGGGGAGTGAGCACCTTAAGCTGCAAACCTGGACCCCAGGGCATGACACAAAGGGCAACTCTACAGACAGAGAAAGCTTTAGAGTCGGCCACATCCCCACCCCATGACCACGTGCCAGCGTGGCAAGTTGCCTGTCCTCCGTGAACCTCAGTGTCTGCATCTGAAACATGAGACTACCGCCCCTTGCCTGAAGGGTGGCTGGAGTGTTGGGCTCAGGGCTGGCACACAGCAGGCCCACAGCAAACCAGGTTAATGGCTGCCTTGGCTCCTCTAGCAGCCAAGGACCCCCAGGAAACAAGAGCAAGACACAAAATAGTCAGAGAAGGAGGCAGAGCTGATGATGACAGGCTCCCTGGCCAGTCCCCTGGAGGTGTCGGCCAAACCTCTGTGGAGGGCTCAGGCCTCCACAGTCACACGGGATGGCAGCTGGCAGCACCCCCTCCCCCTCCGAGAGGCACACAAAAGGGCCTCTATTCCCGCTCTGAGCATTTGTCCCTGGCCGGCCAGGCTGCACCGCCCTCTCCCCACTCTGCTGGCCGCCCGGCCCGGCTCAAGCTCACACAAAGGCCAGTGTGTCCCAGCCTGGCCTCAGAAGACCCCGACCACAGAGAGCTGGAGAGCTCAAAAGGGCCCTGGGGAGGGGGTGTAAGGTGTGGCAGGGCCGCGTCCAGTCTCTACAGGGAGGGGGCTAGGAGGGCACAAGAGACTTGGGAACGAGGAACCTGGGCAGGAGCCGGCTTCAGCATCCCCACCTCCCAGCCCGGCCACCTTGGGTCAGCTTGGACCTCTGCTTCCTCATCTGTACAATGGGGACCATGACGATAGCACACCCAACTTTTTGGACTGTCAGAGGTCTGGTGAGACAACATGGGGCCTAGTGCACAACCACACCCAGCACCTCAGAGCCAGGTGCAAGGCAAGGGCGGATGGGGGTTGGCGGGAGTCCCCTGGGGCCTGGCCAGGCATGTTCTCAGCATCTCCCTCCTAAGTCCCACCCTGGAAGCCAGGCGGACCCAGGCCCCTAGGGAAGCGGGAACAGCACCTGCTTCTAGACCACTCCATTCTCACCCTCCACCCGGCAAGGTCCACATCCCGTTGGTGCTGACCATCAAGCCAGGCCTGAGCCCCCCTGCTGCTCCTGACCATCTCCAGGCAGTGGGCAGACAGCAGCCACTGTTTACCAAACACCTACTGCGTGCTGGGACCTGTAGACATCACATCTTCTTTCAGCCCCATGGCTGCCCGGGGTGGGTGCGGGAGGATGGTACAATGGTTACAGGCTCTGCAGCCAGTGATCTGGGGCCAAATCCTGGCTCCACCACTTCCTGCTGTGGGACTGTGGCCCTCACACTCTGCTAAGAGGGGCAGCTCACCCTCACAGGGTCTGTGCAGCAACCAAATGGGAAAACAAAACCAAACCATGATGTCCCCAGGCCCCAGCAGGCTTGAAATCCTGACCGCTGGGCTGTTACCCTCAACTCACAGATGAGGAAAACTGAGGCCCCATGCTTGGCATGCAGGAGGTGGACCATAAACCTGATGAGCTATTCTAGGAGAGGGAACAGGGATTTGAAACCAAGTCTGGTGGACTCTGAATCCCTTTTCTACTTGAAGGTTTTGCCAACTTTTTTTTTTTTTTTTTTTTTTAGCAATTTTTTCTTGTTTCCCAGCTTAGCTTGTGGGTCACACAGCCTACAGAGAACGGGGCAGGAGGCCCAGGCCAGCAGCCTGACCCATCTCCCTGGCTGACCCCCAGCAACCCTCGCCCTGCTACACAAAGTCCCCCTTTCTCTCTCCCACCAGCTCAGGGCGGCCAAATGAACAGCAGAATACCAAGTAATTAAGCCGGCGCGCACCATCCGGGCGCCCGGGAACACTGTGGAGTTTCCCTTTTATGTTTATAGCAATTGTATGAAAATGTGCAACATGGAGCAGCACCAGCTGACAAATGAGACGAAACAGACAGGATTCCGGGCCGGCTTTTTTCCGGGCCTGATTGGCATTAATTGTGAGCGTTTACAAAGCACAACTTGGCGCCTGACATTTGCTTCAAGCAAACGTTTCCTTCTAATAGTTTTAATGATTACAATGGGAGCTGGTAATCACTACAGGCCGGGAATGGGCTGCCTGGTGCCTGGCCTGGTCTCACCTGGGTCCCAGGAAATGGGGATGTTTCCTGCGTCCCACTTTCCCCTGCTACCTGCTGCAAGAGGGCTGTGCAAGGTGCCTAGCCTTGGACACTGGAACCCCCGCTCGGGGCCCGGCTGCTGGCACACACAGTTGGTAAGGCGCATAGGGAACCCACAGGGTGCAGACCTAGGGGAGGGAGGGGGAGGGAGAGGGAGAAGAGAGAAGAGCAAGCAGGACTTGGCTGGCCTGGCTCTGAGGCTGGAGTACCTCGGTGACCTCGGGTGAGTACCTTTGCCTCTCTGAGCCTCAGTTTACTCATCTGTGAGAAGGACCATAGCACTCACTGCGCAAGGTCTGGTGAGGATTCAGGGAGGGCCTAGCACAGCACACAGTATATCTGTAAAATGGGGGTAGGAAGTGCCCCACAAATGCTGGCTGCTATTTTCTTGCTGTGTAACCTTGGCCAAGCTCCTTCCCAGCTCTGGGCTGGACTCTCCTCACCTGAGGGGCAGGGACTTGGCCAGCTGGAGTTGCTCAGCCCAGGGTTCCAGTCCCAGCTCTGGCCTCTTTTCAGCTATATGGCCTTGGGAGAGTCCCTCAATCTCTCTGAGCCTCAGTTTCCCCCACCTGTAGAATGGAGTTCATCATTCCCATAGATTGCACGGTGGTTTCCGGATGCCAACAAGAAAGGGACTAAAAATCCTGAATTCCTGGCAAGCCAAGTGCCTGTGTCCCATTTCCTCTCCGGAAAGCCCTCCAAATACCTCCCTCATGCATTCCTTCACTCACTCGTTCATTCATTCATTCAACATTGGGTGTTCCAATTAGAAACTTGGGAAGACATTAGTGTACAAAGCAAAGGACCCTCACCCCCACCTCACAAGGGAAGAGAGATGACAAGCAGAGAAGCACTTTACGTCCAGCACTCCCATTTTACAGAGGAAGAAACTGAGGCACAGAGAGGGAGGACCGACAGTTTGAAGTGACCCAGCTAGGATGGGGTGGCATGAGAATCGAACCCTGGCAGGTTGCTTCAGGTGAGTCCTCTCAGAAGCTCACGCAGGCCCCGGGGGAAGCCTCATCTGAGGGCCCGAGGAGGGTGGGCTGCTGGCGCCCAATGTCCTTTACATCTTGGGTGGCATTCATCGGCAGAGCCAGGCTGGGCACCAGGGCAAGAGGCACCACTGGGAAGAAGGGAGTCTGTGAGGCCTGGTCAGCCCCAGCCTCCTGGAGTTGCATTTCTTGGGTAGGAAGGGGACAGAAGGCGCCTCGTCCTTGGGGCCCCGTGACACGGCTCTTTCACATGTTTCCATGAACACTGTGCAATGCCCACTCCACACCAAGCCCTGTCTCACAGGCCATGCATAGTGTCAGCCAGGTAGCTGGAAAAGGCCAGGACCTGGTACTTGAACCATGGCATGGCACGTGCCAAGGCCCAGAGCTGTGAGAGATCTCAGTGGGTTCAGGAGCTGCCAGCAGTTTGCTGAGGCTGTCACAGCCTCTCTGCAGTCAGATCTCAACTTCTGGGTGGGTCCCCTGGAATTCTCTCATCTCTGCCCTATCTGGCCTTGCCAGGACCACCCTGCAGGAAGCCCCCGGGGATGGGTCCCAGCTCTGTGCTTGCTTCCAGCTAGAAAAACCTTGGCAATTGTTTCTTTTGTAGTTTGTGGGGTGGGGAGAAAAAAAAAGGGGATTTTTTTTTCTCTTTTGCATATGGTGGCACAGATGGGCCCATGATCCGTAAAAACTGTTTGCAATTAAACTCCCACTTTGCATGGCTGGATTTGTCAGTTGTCTGAACCGGGAGTGGGGAGCTCCACACTGACAGGAAGATGGGACGTGGGACAGGGCGGGACAAGATTCAGGAGGAGGGGCGGAGGCCCAGGAACCTGCTCTGGGCTTGGGGCCCAGGCCGATGCGATGCGGCATCACAGCAGCCCTGCCAGCTCCCTCTCCGGGCATCCCCCAGCCTTCGCCAGGAGTGGGAGCACAGCCAGGCAGCTGGGGTGGGGCTTGGCAGGGCTTCCCTGCCCAGTAGGGACTTGGCCAGTGCTGGGTGCCCTGACTGCGGGTCTAATGATGGAGAGAAAGGAGCTAATCACCAGTCTGGCCCTGCCAGGGACTGGGCCCGGGACCCAGGACAGGAGAAGGGTGGCTGGGTGGGGCGAACCATAATGGGGGTTGGGTGGGCAAAGTGCAATGGCAGGTTCAAGACTGAGGTGCCAGAACCTCCGGCCTAGTTGGCAGAAAGAATCTACAGTGGTGCCAAGAAGGGCTGCCAAGGGCCAAAACTGGCTCCTTCCTCATCCCCAGGGAAACTGGCCTGGCCTCCTTATGTCCCTTTGAACGCAGGTAGGGAAATCAAGGCAAATACTAAGAATATCTCAAGGGCCTGCGCTTCTGCTGCCCACATTTGGGAACCTTTTCAGAGGGCTTCCAGAATAGAGGCTAGTGGCCTGCACCCCTCCCATCCACCCCGGGCTCAAAATGCCAGCTTGCCACCCCTGCTGCTACCCTGGGATGCTTGCATGTTTGGGTTAACAAATGCATCATTTGGCTTTGGGAAATCCTGAGATCGCTAATAATTGTTCCCTGATGAAAAGAAATAAGGCCCTGATACCCCCTCCCCCCCCCACCCGCTCCCTCCAAGCTGGGAAAGAAAAGTCATAAAAATAGCTTGTTATCTCACCTATTGAGGCTCCGACTGGATGTTACTGCTAATTGGGTATAACATCCTTGTCTTGTTCTCTCAGAAGCTAAATCAAGAAAGCGCCACTGCTGTGAACTAATTATATCTCCGGCCTGCAGCCTGCAGCTTGTCTCTCCCTTTATTGAGTTAAAAAATGGTCACGAACCTTCATCTTTCATCCCCCCAAGCGCTGGGCCCACACTGCCCGCCAGGTGTGGCTCGAAAGGTGCAGACAGCCCAGCAGGAAGGTCTAGGAGGGGTCCTGGGGACAGGCAGCAGGGTAGGGGAGTGGTGAAGGGGAAGCCCTGTCCCAGGTACCTGCCTGGCCCCTTCTCCTGCCCGTCACTGCCAGGCCTGGTGTTCAACTTTGCCTGGAGAGGAGGACTCTGGTCTCTCCCCTCCTTGCAGCTGGGCCCCTGGGGAGGTCAGGAGCATTTTAGTCCGGGGAGTCTTCATTCATTTATTCATTCAATCAATACTTCTTGGATGTCTACCTACTGTGCACTAGGCACTGTTCTAGGCCAAAGCTTCTAGTAGACTGAAGGTAGCCCCCCAAGCAACCTCACCCAGGATTCACAGAGCTGTTGAATAAGTACTCTTAGACGGGACCTCACTGTTACTCTGCTGAAAGAGCTGCCAGAGCTCCCTACTATGGGAAAGCAAAGTCCAAACATCCAGGCCAGCCCTGGCTCCTTCCACAGTCCTCTCTCTCCACATTCTAGCCACATCTGGTTACACACTGCTCCCTTAGTAAACACTCTCACCTGCCTGCCTCTGAGCTGCCTCTCATGCTGTTCCCTCCACCCGGACGTTCACCCTTCCTGGCTCTGCCCGTCAGAAGCCCACCAGCCTTTAAAGCCTCCAAAAAAATGACATCTTTTCTGGGAGGGCTCCCCTGTCTGCCTGCCACCTACAGCCCTGTCCCAGGCTGTGAACTTTCAGACTTGGGTCTGAATGCCAGCTCGGCCACCCAACAAGTGCGTGACCCTACTCTGCTTAGCTGAGCCAAGCCTCAGTTCCCTCATCTCTAAAATGGGTTAAGAATTCTCCCTGGAGGTGCAGGGAGGCTTGCTGCAGGTGTTCTGCAGAATGATGAACGAGAGAGTGCCCAGGAAGGACCTAGCTCTCAGGAAGAACTAAATACATGCTGTTATCATCATCCAGACTGTCAGTGCTCGGAATCTGCATGGATGAACACAAGTGGGAGTTAGAAGAGGGTAACAGACCCTCCCACCTAAAAGGCTTTTGTGGCTTAAGAACAACCTGGATACACAGAGATCCCCTAGAATCCCTCGCTGTCCCCCCTGGTCCTCTGAGCCACATGGAGACGGGCCAGAGGCACCCTGAGCTCATTGAGGCCAGGCAGGCAACTGGTTTCAGCTCACAGGCCCTGCTGATTGATTGGCGCTGCCTGCCCAGAGCCCTGGAAGGAACCCAAGGTCAGGGGAAGAACTCAGCAGGGAAAGAGGGCAGCAATTGATTGGCAATGTCTGCCAAGGGCACAGCGGCATAAGGCAAGCCAGGCCTGCCACAGATTTGCCATCCTTGACATTTATGAAGGACGCGGCTGAGTCTGGGTTGGGAGGGGTGGGGGAAGGTGACCTGCTGAAGGTCGTGAAGCTCATAAAGGAGACAGCTGGCCCAGAACAGCGTCCCCTCGGCCCCTGCCCGAGGATCCTACCATGCCCAGTACCCTTACAGGCAGTGAAGAGGCAAAAGCTTGTGTGGATAATGAAGGGGGTTCTGTGGGCCTGCCATGTGGCCCAGGGCTGCTGCTTCACATCATCAGGCTAAGTTTCTTCATTCACATGACAGGGATAAAAACACCCTTCAGAGAGGGATATGAGGATTAAATGAGAGAACAAAATGCCAAAGTAGGAAACTCAGTCTGGCACACAGCAGATACCAGTGTCCTGTGATTCTCATAATAGGCAAAAGTATTCAATTACAAGTGCCACCTCCTCCAGGGAGCCCTCCCTGGCTACTCCAGCCAGAAGTAATTGTTTCCACCTCTGATTTCCTTTGAGAGACTGGTGGTGGCCCAGGGCAGGGCCCACGTCTGGCTTGTTCACTGCTGTGCCCCCCTGCCCCTGGCACAGTGCCCACATACTGTGAATTCCTCCATTGTGGCAATTAACCCACATGCACTTGTTGGGTGGCTGAGGGGGTGCACTCGAGGCCTCTCCCTCGGTAGGTACACACCACCTTTCAAGGCAACTGGGGCTTGTTCATCTTCATGTCCCCAGCATCTGGCAGGGAGCCTGGCCTGGAGCAGGGAAGCTCTCTGAATGAACGGATGGATAAAGAGCAAAAATAGCAGTTCCTGTTTACTGCCCATTGGCTATCGGTTACTGCCAAACCTCACAGCTGCCCTCTAAGGTGGTCCCTTGGCCCATCACAGATGAAGAGACGGAGATCTGCAGATGCCGAGGGGCAGGGCCAAGCCCTGCATTCAGGCCTGGGGATTTCATGCCAGGAGGCCCTGCCACCTCTGCCTCCCCCAGTGCCAAGCTCAGGCCTGGACTCTGTGAGGCAGCTGCCCGTGCCCTGGCAGCGAATCCTGGAGCAGACAGCTGGTGGCTGGACCTCCCTCCTCCTCCAAGGGAGGCCCCCCTCCCCACAGACTCTGGGTCATTAAGTTCTGCGTCATTAAGTCCCCATCCCCGGGAGCCTGTTCACAGCTAGTCTCGGCCTCACCCCCTGACCTCCCAGGCCTTTGTCCCCTGTGCCCTCTGCACAATAGCAGGGGCCCCCAGGGCCCCAAACAGCTGCTGCGGCTGGGATGCTGGCTTGCTGTGGGGCCAGGACTGGCCCAGGCCTGTATTCAAGCCCAGCCCACCCAGCTCTGAGGGGCTCAGCTAAGCCCCCTGCAAGCACTATGCACATGCAAGCTCACCCCACCCACAAGCCCATGAGAAAGCTGTTGAGACTCTCCTGAACAAGAGGAAACTGAGGCACAGAGGGGTAAAATAATTTCTCTGAGGACACAGCCAGTGAGAGTGCAGGTGCTCTCTCTCACCGGGTTTCAGCCCAGGTCTGCGACTCCCAAGCTCTCTGTTGGCCTCTAAGGCACTGGGATCTTAGCTGGCCCCTGCCTCTCAGATGCTTTCACTGGCTTCCCTCTTCCTCAGGGCCTCACAGCACCCTTAGCTCAGCACCCGATGCCCCCTGCACACCCTCCTAATCTCCCTTTCACCTCCACCATCTTATAAGCTCCCCCTGCCCTTCCTGGTCATGCTCCCGGGTCTCCAAACTCCCTCTGCCAGAGACACCCCCATTTACTCCATGCTGGGGAGAGCCACTCAGTCCTCAGGGCACAGAGCACAGCCCGCTTTGTCAGGAAGCCCTCCAGGACCAGCTGCAGGTTTTCCCTCCTCCAGCCCTGCTCCAGCCCTGTCTAGAATTCCAGTTAACTGCAGACTCATCTTACTCCCTCTAGAGGCTGTGGGCCATCTGATTTCTTATCACTTGACCACTGGGACACGGGCGACAGGGTGTCCTTGCTCAGTCTTTACCTAAAGCCTGGTTTTACCGAATGGAACCACGAGTGGGTGGGAAGAGGAGTGGGAAGCTGGAACCCCGCCTCTGCCTTCCCATCTCTGGCTGCCAATGAACCTCATACTTCTGCCACTCCCTGGCTGTGTGACCTCGGGCAGCAAAGTATAATACCTTCTCTGGGCCCCTGCTTCTCAGCAAAATGGGGGTGGTACCAGCATGTGCATTTCTTAGGGTTATGACGTAAACTCTGGAAGGTACTAGTCTGGTGACCTGTATCCAGGCATGATTACATGATTCCTGACTGTGACCACTGGAGTGGTCAGGGCATGAATTTGGGGTCAGAGAGACCCAGATGGTGGCTGCACATTGGCTGTGTGGTCTGGGCAGGTCGCCCCTTCCCCAGGGTCTCCGTTTCCCCATCTCTGAAGTGGCACTAACTCTGCCCACAGGGATGCAAGCCCCCCATCACAGAGACCCCATCTTTTGTTTGATGCATGCAGTAGGTACTCAGATATTTCTCAACTAAGCAATCAGGGGTCCAGGTGGAAGGAATCCATCCCTCTTCCCAGCCTCCACCCTTTCCAGAATCTCCCTCCCTACACCCAGCCCGTGCAGACTAAAATAGTCATTAGGCAGATTTCAAAAGATGTCAGTAGCTTATAATTATAGTCGACATCCTTCTGAGATAAAAGTGATTACCTTGGATGCAAATCACTTAGCAACCAATCAGGGCGGCGGGCGGCGCCCGCGGAGGTGACCGGCCGGCACCGCAGCCCTCCTCCCGCGGCCCGCAACGCACAGGCAGAGAAAGCGCCCAATAGCTCTTGACACGCAAATGGGTTAACACAATAAAGCGGCTCCGGCCGCTGCTGGGAGAGAGCAGCAATTCCCGGCCCGCGGGAGGTAATAAAGCGGCCCTTTTGTGCGCGCCTCCTCGTTCTCACCCCCGCCCCGAGCCCAGAGGAATCGCCGCCTGATTGAATTACGGTTCATGAATATGAGCTGCTTCGCTGCCTTCCTCCGGTTTGTGAGGGATGGGAAGGCAGAGGGGGCTGGAGGGAGGTTGGGGAGGGACCCCCGGCCAAGTCCCAGCCCCCGCAGAAGCTCAGAAAAGAGCCACCGGTGCTCACCATGTGGGTGGGTGGGTGGGGGCCTCAGTGGACAGAGAAGCCCCTGGCAGAGATAGCTGGTAGAGTTCGGGCCTCTCCCTGCAAATGGGGTCTTCAACCTTTGGCTCCAAGGGACTGAGTCATTCAAGGCTCCGTTCTGAGGAGGAGGTAACAGTAGCCATGACAACATGCGTTTGAGTGCTTACTGTATACTGTGTGCTGTGCTAGGCCCTCCCTGAATCCTCACCAGACCCTGCACAGTGAGTGCTATGGTCCTTCTCACAGATGAGTAAACTGGGGCTCAGAGAGGCAAAGGTACTCACCCGAGGTCACACAGCCTGCAAGCGGCGGGCTGAGAGTACGATCCAGGCCCAACCCACGCCAGAGCCTGGCACCTAATCAGGAGCCACTGCCCATCACCAGGGCGCCTCAAGTTTCTCATCAAGGGGGTTCAGCAGTCCAGCCCAGTCCCAGTTTAGTCCAGAGCAGCCCTAAGGCTCAGAAGGGACAGGGGATGGACGAGCTTACAGGAATTAGATAAGTGAGAAGGATTAGTGGGGGTGGGGCCAACCTTAAGAGAGGAGACTGCCCCCAGAACCGAGGTGGCCACTTCCACGCTTACGGGAAGAGATGTCCAGGGTTACTGTCCTTGTCAAAGGAGATCAATGGATCCTCTGCCCTGCTTAAACCTTCCCTATCCACCTAAGGCTCCAGGACACAGCCACTCACGGCTGCCCCTTTCCCCATCAGGCACGAGGGCCCACACACATCACTGGCTGCTCCAGGGCCACTCCGGCCACCCAGAACAGTCTTCTCACTCCTGTCTGGCACATTCCTATTTGTCCTCTTCATGACTCATGTGCCACCTCTCCTCTAGGGCTTTTTGACCCTCAGGCTGGGTCAGGAACCTCATCTACTAGTTTGCCCTTGCTCCATCTACATCCCAAGAAGGTCCCTGGGGCGGCCAGGGGCAGCTTCACCGCCTCCCTCCAAGCAAGCCCAGAAGGGCAGGTGACAAGGAGCGAGTTTCAAGCTACACCTTCTTTCCCCTAGTGCTGGAGAAAGGAGTCCTGGGGGTGAGGGGACCAGACAGACCACAAGGCCGGGCGGAAGTTGTTAATCTACTCAACGCTGACCTGTAGGTCATAGGAAGAGAGGATTCAAATCTGCCTTTTGGTGTGGACAAAGCATCTTGGTGGGGCCAGACTCCCCCTCCATGGCTGATAGCCTCTGATGCCTGCAGGGACCCCTGTCCAATAAGTAGGAGTGTCCCCCAAACCCCATGGGAGGAGGTGGTAAGACACAAGGACTCTGGAGCCAGGAGGGCAATTCAGGACCGAACCTCTGCAGCTGCCTGGCTGATCACCTGTAGCCCATCACTTCCTCTGTTTAAGCCTCAGTTTCATTAGCTATAAAATGGGCCACAGCGTATGAGCCACTCCAAGGAGTAACTGAGATCATGTAAAACGCCTGGCATATAGGGAGATGCTGAGAAAGCTGGCACTCCCTCCTGCTCATCGTCTGGCACGCTGAGTGCCAAGCCCAGGGAGATGAGGGAAGGGAACAGAAGGAATTGCCCAATTCTGACAGCCTTTCCCTCTGCCTTGGCTGTGGAAGTGTAAATACTCGGCAGAGGGCCTCCAACTGCCTGTGTTTGTGAATCTCTGGCGCGCACTCCGAGTTTGTTTCTAAACTGGGAAGCTTCGAGAGGCAGCGCAAACAGCCCTTCTGCCCACCTCTCCCGGCTCTCCCCCAATCTGCTGTTGCTCCTCTGTCCTTGGAAGCTTGTGTGTTTAACGACACCATTTCAGCTGGAAATACCATCTCCCTGCCAAGCCCCCAAAAGCAGCTCCACCGATATTTATTGACCTGTTAATCTAGCTAGAGAGCTTGGTAGAAGAGCAGGGAAAATGCTCGCTGCATAGACTGGGGCCTGGCTTCTCCTAATGACCCGAACACACACTTTCTCTGCTCTTACCCCGCCCCACGCTGCTGAGGCAATGACAGTTTTCGAACCTTTTCCTAGAAATGTGATCACAGCAGTTTCACCAGCACCCGACACTGGCAATAATTGCTGGAAGGGACCTAGACGAATCCCAGAGCCAGCAGCAGGATGCTTGCTGGGGGTTCTCTGGGCCTTTGCAGGGAAGCGTGCCAGTACTGGGGTGTGTGTTGGTTGGGGGTGCCCTGACAGAGACACAGTTTATTCAGACCTTGGCACTGATGGGCCTCACTTGCCCGCCATTCACTTAAGCAGCCTCACAATATGCTCGTTGAAATCCTCTTAAACACCAGAAGGAGCAGGGGGCAATCAGGAGTTCCAGGTTGGCCAAGGCCCCTGACCTTGGGGTAGAACAGCATGGGGAGCCCCTGGACTAGGGGTGCAGCAGGCAGCAGCTCCTCTGCACCTTCCTTGGCTGGGGGAGGGGCACCCACATTTTCCCCAGCAGAAGTAGCCTATTGGAGGGCCGGAGGCCCACATCTCTCTGGGGACCCTGGGAACTTCAGCCTGCCAGCTGGGTACATGGTGGGGTTCAGGGAGGTCTCTTCTATAGCATCTCTTTTCAAAACAGAAAGTTGCTCTGTCTGGGAGGCCTGAGCCCCGAGGCACAGGCCAGGCTACATGGGCAAAGCTCTGAACACCTGTCCTTGCGGGGAGGAGCATCAACAGGGACAGCTGGCACTGCCTCCCTCCCCCACCTTATGGGGCGCTAAGGATTTAGGTCAGAGGACTGCAATGGTAGGGGTGGGGGGAGTCCGCCTTCACCCCTCCACTACCCAAAGGCATCCAGCCCCGCCCCTTGTTACCACGACCCCGCCCCCTCCGGCCTTGGGTCAAGGCAAGTGGTGTTGCCACGGCAACCCCAGTGACATCAGAGGCTAAGGTTTGACGTCATGTCGTGCCCCCACTGGGGAACCTACCGTCCCTGCGAGTTATTTGTGGGAACGTGGTTTGAACGAGGGCTCTAAGGTCTAGCCCCATGGGGCACAATTCTCAAACGTGGCCACCTGCGTTTCTGGAACCCCAAATCCCCCTCTGAGGTGATTTCCCTTGAAGATCTCAGAGGCTGCTCGGGAGACCCTCAACGTTTTCCCATCCTGGGTGCCCCCCACCCCCCAGCCCTTCCAAGACACTGGAGTTCCCGGGGAATTTTCGGATGACACAGCCAATACCTTTGTTAGCTTTACGGGTGGGGTGACCTTTCCTCTCTGGCAACCAACCCGCCCAGGGTCCCGCGGAATCCGAATGGGCCCCCCAACCTCCACTCCCATCGGCTGGCCCATCTGAACAAGTTGTGTTTGGAGGGAGGAAAGGGGCGGACAAGGGTTATCTCTGCTTCAGGACCCCCAACAGCCTAGGACCCCTTCTGTCCAATCCTGGCTGCCCGGACGCCAGGGGGTGCCCCCAGCTCCAGCGCAGAACCCCGCCCCGCACAACTCACCGGATCAGCCAGGCCGTCGAAGGGCACCAGGTCTCAGCTACCACGACGCTCCGCTCGACGGGTCGCAGCCATGCAGGAGTGGCAGAGGCTGCCTGACGAAGCCCTCCTTGGGGGTCGATGCCTCTCTCCGGGTGGGAAGGGGCGCTGTCGGTGAGGGCTATCCTGGCGCCGGCCTGCGCCGTCCGAAGTCGGGGGGGAGGGGAGGTCTCCGTTCAGCAGGGGTCACGCCCGCCCCGGACGGGGGCCGCGCGGGCGCTCAGGCGACGCATCTTCGCCGGGGCCCGTGATCGCCACGTCCGGCGGGCGGCGCTGCGCCTCCCCTCGGGGCCCCGCTCAAGGCTGCAGCTCGGCCCGCGCCGCTCCCAGGGCGCCCTCTCCGCCCGCGCTGGGAGCCCGGCGGCCGCGGCCCCTTTCGCCAGCCCCAGCTGCAGCCTGTCTTTGTTGCTTCCTCTCGCTCGCCCGCCCGCCCGCGGCTTGCAGCCCCCGGGTTCGCCCCGAGGTGGAGGGATTGTCTCCTTCGGGGGTTGCACGCACCCGCAGCGGCCCCGGCTCCTCGCCGGACATACACCGGCCCCTGCAGGTTGCAAAGAACAGCGGCGAGAATGCACCGGCCCCTCCTCCTCCTGCTCTGAGCCCCGGGTGTGGGGGGAGGGGAAGCCGGCGAACAGCGGCGGCGGCAGCGGCGGCGGCGGCGGCAGCGGGCGACGCAAGCTCGGATGCAGCCTCGGGGGCCTCGGCGCTGAGAAACAGCCGATCCCAGTGGCGCAGGACGGACACGAGGACGGCCCGGGGGACTGTGCACCGGGTGTGCGAGCTCGCAAGCCGCAGCAGGGGCCGCGCGCGCTGGGCTCTCACGCGCCCATGGCCCCGGGCGGCGCGCGGGGGCTCCCGGGGCCGCAGCCTCGCGCCGTCTGGCGCGCGCCGGCGCCTCGCCTGGTCTCAGGCCCGGGTGCCGCGCGCCGCGCCCCACAGGCGCCGGGCCCGGCTGTCCGCCTCCCCCGGCCGGCGCGCGCAGCCTCTCCGCGGAGCAGCCGGCCAGGCAGTCCTGCCCGCTGCTCCGCTCTGGCCCGACTGACAGGCGCGAGCGCCGGCAGCAGCCCCCGCGTCTCGTCCCCCGCCCGCCCCCCGCGGCCCAGCCCAATCAGCGGCGGCTGAGAGGCGGTTACCAGGGTGACGCGGCACCGCGTCCTGCGAGGGGCGGAGCCGGGGGCCGCCACGCGCGCTTTTCGCGGCAAAATTCAAAGGCCGGCAGGGCGGCTCTCCAACCTCCTCCCCCAAGCAGGGACGAGGCGGAACTTGCCTCGCGAGGACTGCAACTCCCGGCATGCTGCGCGCCGGCGCCGGGTGGAGGGGCCCCGACTGGGGGCGCAGGGCGTGCTGGTTTTTGTAGTCCCACTAGGGGTGGCAAAACCAGTGTCATTTACTGATCACATATTTGGGACAAGGCACTGTATAAGTGCATTATCGGCATTATTTCATTTAATCTTGGCAAAAACCAACCTCATGAGGAATTTGTTAAAAATAACAACTATAGCTAACACTTATGTAGCAAAGTATTTTATCTAATCCTCACAACACCGTGTGAGTGGGTATTACTATCACCCCCATTTTACAGATGAGAAAACTGATACGGTAGGTACTATTATTATACTTCCAACTTACAGAGGAAACTGAGGTAAGGAGATGTGAAGTGACATGGTCCTGGATGTTTTTGTCCTAAGGCTTATTTTTGGCAGCGATGTGTTTTTGGCATCACAGTTGTGATCTGTGGAGCGCTAACTATATAACCCAGCACAGCGCTGAGCAATTTGCAAGCTACACCTTCTAGACGTACCCCACGCCCACAGGAGACAGGCACTAGCCTACTCCCCCACTTAATAGATAGGGAAACTGAGGCATAGTTTCACATCAACCTGGGGTTCAAATATGAATCTATCAAACTATACTGTGCTTTCCCTTTTACTTTTAAAGAAGCTTCCTGGGTTCTCACAGCCCATGGGCGGCCCGTCTAGCAGTCTCATTTACAGATGGGGAAATTGAGTCCTGGGTGGGGCAGTTCCCTCAGTTGCTGTGTGTCCATCACACAGCACTGTAGGAAGCCAGCTTTCCGGGATAATAACAAAGATCCCCACAGAAATGCAGAGCAGCAGTCAGACCCCCCACCCCTCAGGCTATGCCCGTGTGATACCTGGAGTCCCACCGAAACTGGGTGGGATTGCAGCCCTGCCCTTGCTGGTTGTTGGTCTTGGCCATTTACCTTCACGGGTCTGCGCCTCAGTTTCTTGTCTGTGAAATGGGGGGCATCATAATTCCTACCTTACAGCGTAGATTTGAGGGCAAAATGAATTCTTGCATGTAAAGGACTCAAAACACACATTAAGTGCTCAATAAATGCCCTCTGTACTCACCCGGGCTGGAGGGCTTTGGAGACCCTGGGGAGCGTATCCAGCGGACGGGCTGATTATAGACGGGCCCTAGCCTACTTCCAGGAGCCAACCCACCCCGCCGGGAGAGGCGCCCGCGGCGGACCTCCAGGGCCGGCCCAAGTGGGTCACCCGCCGCCTTATCTAGGACAGGAGCTGGCCCTGTTTCAGGCCTCTAAGCGGCTGCTCGGCGCGCTGTTCCCAGCAGCTCCGCTCTATTTCTCCGCGGCCGCCCCCATCTCCTCCCCTTCCCTCCCCAGGCTGAAGGTGGGGGTGGGGATTTACCTGGAAATGTGTTATGCCTCCAGCTGCTTCCCGCTCGGGCCAGCAGCCAGGGCTGCGGGGACGTCAGGGAGGGCGGCCGGGGCGACTGGATGGGTGGACCCAGCGTGTGGACAGGTGGGGAGACCAGACTTCAGCTGAGGACAGGGCGAGGGACAGTAACAAGCAAACCCTGGGAAATGAGAGAGATCGCGAAGAGGAGAAGAAGGCAGCAGTTCGCACCACAGCCTGTCAAAAGTTTGGGATTTTTTTCATTGTAGGTCACCATGACTTCACACCTACTGTGTGTCAGGCATGGGCTCACTGCTATTTATCTCACATAACTCCTTTTACCCTCGCAGAAACCCTATAAGGTATATACGATCACTATGCACATCCTACAGCAGAGGAAGGCCACATGACTTACCCAAGGTCACACAAATGACAGAACCAAAGTCCAGAGCCCTGACGTTGATTTATTGCACCTTGTGGCAGCCACTGTCTGACCGTGTGCAACCTTGAGGGGAGTTTCTTCTCTTCTCTGGACCTCAGTTTCCCCTGCCATGAAATGGAGGGTAGGACCCAAACCCCAGCCCTACCAATCAGACTCTCCTTGGTGGGACAGCAGTTTCCAAAGCTCCTATGTGGTTCCTGATACAGCCAGGGCTGACAACCCCAGGTCGAGAAGATCTCAAAAGACCCCTCCATCTCTGAAGTTCTATGAGTCCACGATGTGCTCATGGTGGAATTTCCGACAGCAGCAGGCTCCAAGGCAGCTGTCCAGCAGGAGAGGTCAGAGCCTTCCAGATGCCTGTCGCTCCCCTCCAGGCAGGTGAATGCCCCGTAAGATGCTCTGCCCCACTCCCCACACTCCCAGTGCCCCCCTACCCCATATGCCCATCTCCCTGAGATCAGACCCTCGTGCCTTTGCTCTTGGTCGACTCCAATAACTGCATTATGTGATTGGAGACAGTGTCAAGATGGATTTGCCACGGTCCATAAAACCACCAGGCAGGCCAGCCCCGGAACACTGGCTCTGGCCAGGGGTCCGACAGGCCCTGAGGGGGCAGGGGGCAGAGGGCATCTCATCTCTCACTGTTCTTGTTTGCCTCCCACACACCAACCTTGCTGAAATACCTACAAATCCTTGCACGTGCCTCTCTCACCTCCAGGTCATTGCTTATGCTGTTCCTTCTACCTAGAATGCCCTCCCTCCAGGTAGCTAACTCTTGCTCCTCCTTCAGAGTTCAGCCAAAGTGCTGCCTCCTCCAGGAAGCCTTCCCTGACTACCCTGCTCCAGGCTGGAGCACTTCCCCCTTCACAGATGTGTCCAGTGTGTGTTATAATGGCCCACTTCTTTGTCAGGCTTCCCACTGGCCTGAGGGCTTTTCCAGGGCAAAGGCTGCATTCAGTTCATTTTATTCCCTAGCACAGGCCTGACATAGAGTCAGCACTCAATGAAGGTCTGTTGACTTAATCTCTGAATCACTGAATGAATGTGGCCCAAGTTTTTGTTTTGTTTTGTTTTCACGTAGAGGAGGAGAATTAAGAGAAGGGAGTAGAGTCAGGCTGACTGGGCTACTAGCCATATGACTCAGCCGCTCTGTGCCTCAGTTTCCCCCATCTTTGAAATGGGATTAATTGCCATTTCAATTAATCAAGGCATCACTCAAGGGGCCTGGAGGCTGGAACTTTTGTTCCCACCCTCCCACGTATGTAAGGCTAGTCTTGCTCTTCTCTGTTTTTTTGTTTTTTTGTTTTTTAGAGACAAAGTCTCACTCTGTCACCAGGCTGGAGTGCAGTGGCACCATCATAGTTCACTGCAACCTTGAACTCCTGGGCTCAAGTGATCCTCCCACTTTAGCTTCCTGAGTAGCTAGGACTACAAGGTGCATGCCCCCATGCCCAACTAATTTTTAAATTTGTTGAAGAGACGGGCTTTTGCTATTTTGCCCAGGATGGTCTCAAACTCCTGGGCTCAAGTGATCCTCCCACCTCGGCCTCCAAAAGTACTCGGATTACAGACGTGAGCCACCTGGTCCATCTTTGCCTTGCCCTTCTCTGGTCTCACGCACTGAAGCCTGAGCATTCCCCCTTTAAGTCTGCTAATTCCCTCATTCATTCAACATTTTCTAAGTACCTGCCCTGTGCTTGACACTGGGAATTCAGCAGTGACTCAGACCAAGACATAGGCCTCTTGGAACTCAGGTTTCATGGGGCACAGAGAAGGCAACTAACAGGTGTCATCCAGGGTACCAGTAGAGGGGACAGTCCGAAGCAGGCACCTGACTCAGCGGAGGGCCAGTGATGGTAAAAAGGCAAGTCAGCTACCCTGGGAAAAATGGGTAGGAGGTAGCCAAGGGCAGAGGTGAGGGAAGAGCGCCCCCGGAAGAGGGAACAACCAATGCAAAGGCCTAGTGTTCCAAGTGAGGGAGATGTGAACGCCCCAAAAGCAGAGGTGGGTGAGAGGCTGAGCTGGGGCTGGGGAGAGGGGAGCAGGCAGAGACGGGGCATTTATGCAGGCAGAGGGGGCAGGCCTGCTCCAGCCTCCCACCCCACCCCCAGTTGCCTCACCTGCCCTCATTGCTGTGATCTAGGCCAGAGCCCGGAGGGAGCCCAGCCCCCATTGGTGCACGCCACGTAGGTTTTTCAGAGATAATTTAATCAGAGCTATTAATAAGCAGAAAAGAAAGAGCTCTTTATGCTCCTCCTGGAGAAACGGGGAAAGAAGAAACACATGTAACCTTGTTATTCACCCAGCCCCGCCCCCCAGTACCTGAGTCTCTCTCTGGGGCAGGCCTAGTGGGGCAAGGAGGAGGGGGTGAGCTATGTGTAGGGCTGAAGAAGTCCAAGTGGCCTCAGGAACCGAACCCTGCCCATCTCCCTGACTATATCCCACCCTCACTCCCTTCTGGCCACTTTAGTCTCCTCTTGGTTACTTGAAGGTGCCAAACTATTTCCCACCTCAAGGCCTTGACCCAAGCCGTTCCTTCTGCCTGGAACATTCTTCCTTTTGCTCTCTGGTTTGTTCTCATACTTCCAGTCTCAGCTTAAATGTCACCTCCTCGGGGAAGCCCTCCCTGACTACCCGATCTGAAGTTATTTTCCCCAGAACACCTCCCTTTTGTTTTGCTTTCCCTCTCGTCAGTGCTTACTGCTGTTGGCAGCTTTCTGAGCACTTGCAGGATGACATTTATTTTCTTCTTATTTTTTTTTTTTTTTTTTGAGACAGACTCGTTGCACAGGCTGGAGTGCAGTGGTGTGATCTTGGCTCACTGCAACTTATGCCTCCCAGGTTCAAGCGATTCTCCTGCCTCAGCCTCCCGAGTAGCTGGAATTACAGGCACGTGCCACCACACCTGGCTAATTTTTGTATTTTCTTGTTTTTCCAGTAGAGACGGGGTTTCACTATGTTGGCCAGGCTGGTCTTGAACTCCTGACCTCAAGTGATCCACCCGCCTCGGCCTCCCAGAGTGCTGGGATTACAGGCATGAGCCACCGCGCCCGGCCTGGATGACGTTTATTTTCTGTTTACCTCTCTAGACTTAGCTCTGGGAGGGGAGAGACTGTCATTTCTTCACCGCTGTGTCCCCAGCACCTTGCATAGTCACTGGCACATAGTAGGATCTAGGTCATTATTTGTGGATGGAGTTGAAGAAGGTTCAGAGGGATTGGTTGCAGGGGAGTTGGGATAGGAACCAGGAGGTGGTAGGGGGTCCCTTCCACCTGGGAGACCCCCTCAGAATCAATAACCATTAAACGTCCCCCTTGTTTCACCACTGGGGACCAGGAGGCCCAGAGAGGGGAGGGCACTTGCCCAAAGTCATGCAAGTTTGGGCCAGGGGTGGAACTTGAACCCAGAGCCCTTTCAGGGCATCTGGTTCCACATGAGTCTCATCTCAAACACCTGCTCTGTGTTGAGGAGGATTCTGAGGTCTCGCCCAGGCTCAGAAGGGAAAGATTGCGGTGCTGCCGTGGATTAATGATGTCTGCCATGAGTCTGGGGCTGGATGTTGGGCTATTCCTGATAGCATGGAGGCTATTTCTGTGTTTGTGGTTTTGAGTTTGAAAGAGCACTAAGCTGGGAGTCAAGAGACTTGGTTCCTTCAGTCGGCACCACCATCTCATCATGTGACCCCTCAGATAAGAGAGCCAACCTCCCTGGGCCTCAGTGTCCTTATCTAAAAAGTGGGGCTATCTAGCCCAGCCCTGCCTAAATCAAGGAGTGTAATGATGGATGGGCGCAGTGGCTCATGCCTGTAATCCCAGCACTTTGGGAGGCCGAGCAGGCAGATCACTTGAGGCCAGGAGTTCTAGACCAGCCTGGCCAACATGGCAAAACCCTGTCTCTACTAAAACTATAAAAATTAGCCAGGCGTGTAATGAGAAAATGGATATAACATTTCCTGGAGCCTAATGTGTTCTACAAATATAATCAATGATTATTATTGTAAAATATATCAACAACAATAATCTATGAAGGCCCCATTGTTGACCAGGAGTTACCCCAGGTGCTTTGCATACATGATCTGTTAACTTTGCAACACGCCCGTGAAGAGGAACTGATGGCTTGTGTTAGAGATGCTGATTCTGAGGCTGGGGTCACTGGCCTTGCTGAAGGTCACACAGAGCTCCCGAGTGTGTGGAGCCAATATTTGAACCCTGGTCGGTTTCTTTGCCATAGTGGGTGTCTGACTTAGCTGCAGTCCTTACCAGACAGGAAATAGTGATTGGAGGCATGGGTGGTCCCCACCATCCCCCTCCAAGGTTCTCTCTGTCCTCTGGCCAGCTGGGCATGGTTCTCCCAGGCTGTGAGTGGCAGGGATATTTCCAGGGGATTAAACCCAGCCAGCCCCGCCTCCTCTCCAACCTGGAAAGGCCAGCAGGCTCTCCCAGGTCCTCCTAAGCCCTCCTGGCAGATTTCCTTTTGTACAAAAAGTTATTGACTTATCAAGGTTAAAATACATTCAGCTCAGGCCAATAAAACAGGGATACCGCTGCATCCCAGCTGCCATGAGCAGCCTGGTTTTCATGGCAACAGGCCCTCTTCTGCACATTAAACGGTTCAGTTGTGCAAAGTTCAGGCGTTACATAAACAGGGAGTTAACAACAGCAGTAGAAATCAATGTCTGGCCAGGCATGGCCCGGGGAGATAGCATTGATTGGGCCCTTCGTCTTCGATAGGCTGGGTCCCAACTTCTTGCCCAGCTGCACTGGGCTCCCTCCCGCAGCCCCAGACCTGGGCTCAGACCCAGGGAGCTCCACAGAGCTCCCTTTCTGGCTGCCCTTGCCACAGAGCCCCTTTCTGGCTGGGATCCAGGAGTTAGGGGATCTACTAAATTGCCTGGAGTTGTTCTGTAAACCATTATCGCTCAGAGATGCCACTCCATGGCCTTAAAATATGTTCTCGCCATTGTTAGTGGAGCCAGTGTTGTCTCATTGCCTTTTAAACCATCTTTGTGACAAGGAACAATCCTGCTGCCTTTATGTTCAGCATAAAAACCAGTGATACATCAAGATGTGCCCCAGGTCAAATAGGTTGAAATATGAAACCAAACTGGCTGTGTGACCTCGGGTAAGTTGCTTCACCTCTCTGATCCTCAGCTTCCCATTTTCTGAAAAGGCAAGAATGACGGCACCAACCTCATGGAGTGTAAGGGAGGAGAAGATGAAGAGATGCATATGGAGACCCTAGCTTGGGCCTGAGGAATGGCTTTTGTCAGGAAACCTACCCTCTGTATGTCTTCACCCTGATTCCAGCAGACACCCTGATGATGCAGAAAAAAGCAAGGAACTAGGAAGTGATATTTGGGTTCAATTCCAGCTCCATCACTAGCTGTGTGACCTTAGGCAAGTTACTTCACCACTCTGAGCCTTGGCATCCATTCCAAGATATATATATATATATGCTTATTTTTTGAATCTCAACATTCTCTCATATAAAATGGGGAAAATGCTCTTGCAACAGTGAAGGAAAAAACTCAATGAGTTCAACCACATGAATATGCTGGGCACATGGAAAGTGCCCAGTAAAGATTTATTGAATCAAATCCTTCCTCCAGTGTTCCAATGTCAGATCCACCCACCCTTGCAAAATGGAAAATCTGATGGGCTTTCTCTCAGAAAAGGGACAGCTAAGAGGAAATAAACGTCTGTTTCACTTATTGGAAGGCTCTAAAGTCAGGGACCTGGTCTTTTTCATCTCTGTATTAATGAACTATGTATCTATGTATGATACATACATGCATACTATCATCTGTGTATGAACTGTGAGCAAGTGTGATATAAGAATTGGTTGTGAGGCCGGGCGCGGTGGCTCACACCTGTTATCCCAGCAGTTTGGGAGGCTGAGGCAGGAGGATCACTTGAGCCCAGGAGTTTGAGACAAGCCTGGGCAACATGGTGAAACCCTGTGTCTACAAAAAAATACAAAAATTAGTCAGGCGTGGTGGTGCGCACCTGAAGTCCCAGCTACTCTGGAGGCTGAGGCAGGAGGATTGCTTGAGCCCAGGAAGTGGAGGCTGCAGTGAGCCAAGATTGTGCCACTGCACTCCAGGCTAATCAACAGAGCAAGACCCAGCGTCCAAAAAAAAAAAAAAAAAGTGATTGTGTGATTGTGCCCCTTTTCCACCAACTTTCTCTTGTGCCCCGAGGCAGAAGATCGACTCTTCCTAGGCAGGGCAGGGCTAAAAGATGGATGGAGCTTGGATCCCTGAATCACTTGTGGATGAAAGTTGCCCACCTGTTGATCAATGCCATAAGCTTTGAAACTGCTGCATGATATATACTGCTTAAATGCCTGTGTCTGTTGCAGCCGCTGGTGTTGCCATCACAGATTCATAGGGTTTCCCAAAAAGAACTCAAACTCCTCACTATAGCCCTCTCTGAGTCATGAAATCTTGCAGGGCTGGGAGGGTGCCCTTATTGGATAAAGCAACTACAGTAAAATATTAATGGTAGACACCAGGTGGTGGATATTAAAGTGTTCATTGTAAATGTCTTTCAACTTTGCTGTATGTTTGAATTTTTTCATAATAAAATGCTTGAAAAAAGTCTAATCTGGTACTTTCAAAACATTTCTAGGAGCCTTAGGGTTTTAGGAAGATGCCTCAGGGACCTCTAGTTGGTGAAAGGGGTGGGCGGAGGTGGTGGAAAAGATAAAGCTCTGGAATCTGCACTCCAGTCCCTGCACTGCCAACTTCAACTAGGGCATGTTCAATTTCAATCTGAAGTCAAGGACCTGGTCTTTTTCATCTTTGTATGGTCAAGGCTTGGCACAGAGCCCAGGTATACAACAAGAGCTCAATATGTGCTTGTTGAACAAAGTTGAACTCTTCTGGAGAGATGGCTAGGCCCCCTCTGACCTGGCATGGGGTGGCATGAAGACAGGGGGATAAATCCCGTTTCAAATTGGGGTCTGAACCCCTTTTCAAATTGGGGTTCAGCGTTTTTACAGTTTCAACAATAAAGATTTGAAAACTTCTGGTTCAATCCTCTCATGTCATCACTGGGGAAACTGAGGCTCAGAGAGGGGAAGAGATTTGCCACAGTGAGCCAGTGGCTGCTCATCAAACTCAAACTCAGCCTTCCTGGTCCCTGGGACAGTTTCTTTCTGGAAGTTTCTGGGAAGACTCCACCCTGGGGGCTAATGAGAGCGAAGGAGTGAGGGTTGGGCACAAGTTTGAACTCCCCTAACCCACACCTACCAGCCAGAGCCCTCTGCTTTTGGCTGTCTTATACATTGAGTATCATGGTATTTGACCAAAGGGACCTGTGATTGGGGAGTGGCTTATTTATTTATTTATTTATTTTTTCAGAGGGAGTCTCACTTTGTTGCCCAGGCTGGAGTGCAATGGCATGATCTTGGCTCACTGTAACCTTCACCTCCCAGGTTCAAGTAATTCTCCTGCCTCAGCCTCCCGAGTAGCTGAGATTACAGGCGCCTGCCACCATGCACAGTTAATTTTTGTATTTTTAGTAGAGACAGGGTTTCACTAGTTTGTCCAGGCTGGTCTTGAACTCCTGACCTCAGGTGATCTGCCCGCCTTAGCCTCCCAAAGTACTGGGATTACAGGCATGAGCCGCTGTGCCTGGCCCTGGGGAGTGGCTATTTGAGAGGTGATGGGAGGACACTGGGGAAGACTCAGTGAGCCAACAGTATCCTGGGGTGGGACCATGCCCCTCCCCCTCCATCCCAGCACCGTCCCCTTCTCTGGAGCTGCAGTGGGAAGATGGATGGGAGGAGGCAGGGCTGGGACAGACCATGCAGCAATGATGGATTTGGACCCCAACCAGAAGCCCCTGGGTCATCTGGGACCATGAACAGAGGTGAGAGGTCACGCATGCAGGGCAGGTGAGTCAGCAAAGGACAGGGACGAGGAGTCAGCTCGGGTCTGACAGCTGGTGATGGTCTTAGAGTTGGCATGTACCCTAAGCCTGGCACTCCTCTCATACTAGCTGCATCCTTCATTCATTCGGCAACTCCAGTGTGCCAGGTGCCAGGCCGGAGATTCCAGGATAAACGGGCACTGCTTCTGCCCTCAGGGGCTCACAGTGCAGGCGGGGAGAGGGCAGATGGGAAAAGAAGAGCAGCGCCACCCCCCTAACCCTTGAAAACAACCAGCCACGTGACCTTGGGCAGGTCCCATCAACCCTCTGAGCCTCAGTTTCCCCATCTGGAAGATGAGGATAATTACAGTTCCAAACTGATCATGTGTGTGATGAATTTGGCACAGAGCTTAGCATGGAGAAAGGATGGCTCTCTTCCCCTGACTTCCAATTACAAGAGAAGGGAAGGGTCTCTTTACCCCATCTGGACTGTTTCAGTTGAGGCAGAGGCATGGATTTTTTTTTCTTTCCTTAATACTGGGTCTGGCTCTGTCATCCAGGCTGGAGTGCAGTGGTGTGATCTCAGCTCACTGTGACCTCTGCCTCCCGGGCTCAATAGACCCTCCTGCTTTAGCCTCCTGAGTAGCTGGGATTATAGGTGTGCCCCACCACATCCAGCTAATTTTTGTATTTTTAGTAGAGACGGGGTTTCACCATGTTGGCCAGGCTGGTCTCCAACTCCCCAACTCAAGTGATCTGCCCACCTTGGCCTTCCAAAGTGCTAGGATTACAGGCATGAGCCACCACACCTGGCCTCAGAGGCATGGATTTGAATCCTTGCCTCACTTATTAGCTGTGTGACCTTGGGCCAATCACTTCCCCTCTCTAGGCCTTGGATCTATAAAATAATAATAATAATAAGAAGAAGAACTGCCTTGTCCAATGGTTATGATGCTGTAGTAAGTTAAAATGTGAAAGTGCTTAGAATAGTGCCTGGCCCACAGCTAACACTCAATGAACTTCAACGTTTGTTGTTAGTGCTATGATGGACACTGAGTCTGCAACAGCAATAATAACACCTACAATAGCAATAATAATAACACCAATATTGGCCTAGTGCTAGATGAGGACTTGGAGACCATCTAAACTGGTCTGGTGCCTGGGTGCCCACTCTGACTCATCAGGAGGGAATGCCTGGAGTATTGGCTTGGGTTGCTTTGCTATTTCATCTGGGCTTAGTGAGAATGGTGCTGCAACCGATTAGCAATGCCTGCAGTGGGCAAGGAAGGGAAGAGTTAGGGAAGCCATGCTATTGATTAGCCATTCCTGATGCTGGTCCAAGCCCTCTCCTTGTACAGATGAGGAAACTCAGAGAAGGAAGAGGGCAGCTCAGAGGAAGCTCAGAGAAGGACTAAGGCTTGCTCAAGGCCACACAGGCAGTCAGAGACAAGACTCCTGAGCCTGCCTCTGCAGTTCCTTGCTGGGCCCTGGTCTATGTCACTTAATCCTGCGGAGAAGAGTCATTATTTCTCCATTACATTTCCCAGTCTGTTTTCTGGAAGGAAGTTAATTGATTTAAACTTTTCCAGGATGATTCTCCCTCCTCCTACCCTCCCCTGGGCCCCCGATTCTATTATCGCTCTGCCTCACGGAAATAAGGAGGTGGCATCTGGGAGAGCAAGCACGGTCTCCAGGCAGGGCGTCCACATGGGCACGGAGTGGAGAATGCGGGCCTTGCCTGAGGCTGGGTCTTCTGGGCACCTCCATGTATAATGACAATAACTACCAGGACTCAAGTGTATGGAGTTGGGTTACCATCAAGAGTAGCTACCACAGCCCACAGGGTTCACTGGCTCTTCACATCCCACCAATTTGCAGAAGGGGAAACTGAAGCACAGAAAGAGTTCCACAGCTGGCATTCAAACTCAAGACTGGTGGGCTCCAACTTTCTCATGCTTTTATTTATTTTTAAATTTTATTTTACAGAGACAGGGTCTCGCTATGTTGCCCAGGCTGATCTGAAACTCCTGGGTTCAAGCTATTCTCCCACCTTGGCCTCCCAAAGTGCTGAGATTACAGGTGTGAGCCACTGCACCCAGCCCAAATTCCAAATTCTTTACCATTCATAATCACTGCCACCTTGGCTCTGTCAAAATCTGATCGCCCCAAATGCTCTGTTCATATCCTCACACCAGAACTGCAAAGTTGGCTGAATGGTGATCTTTGGCACTGTTTGATAAAGAAGAAACTGAGGTCCAGAGTAGGGGAGTGACAGATCTTGAGCCACACTGCAAGTGGAGCCAAGGCCCTGTCCTTTGGCACCATGAGGAAGAAGAAGGGCAAGAGGGGCTTGGAACAGGGCTGGCCACAGCAGCTCTTGCAGCCTATTCATCTTCTGAGCTGAAATATTTATTTACGCACCCCATTTAATCAGGATATGCCGTAATTAGCAGCAGATTTGTGCCTCCTGCCCATGGTGTTATTTATTTCGGGTTCCAGGCAGCCACTTTCCTGGCTGAGTGTGTTCTGGGCCTGGATTTCAATCAGATGGGGCCACGGCAGAGCCGTCCCTGGGGACCTCACGGCAGCAATGCCCCCCTCTGAATGATAAATGAGCCCACAGACAGCAGAAATGCTGCCCAGCTGCTCTGGGGGGCTGGCGTGCATGGGGTGTGGAAGGAGGTGTACTCACCAATCCCAGGACCTTGTCACAGAGAAACTCCCCCTCCCCCAGTGCCAGACAATAGCTTGGCATTTCCCAGCCCCAGGGAGAAACATGCAAGAGAGATGGCACCACACAGACCACATTGCAGTCCTGCTTTTAGAATCTAAGAGTGGAAGGGACTTAGGAAGGACTCCTGTTCCGATTTCTGTCCCAGGATTGGTTTATATCTCAGCATCTCTCATTTGGGGGGCATGTTCATCTGTTCACGGTCCCCATGGGGCTGGAAGTTCCTTTTGGGTCTAACTTAAGGTAAAAGCTTTGCAACTCTGGTCCCCAGGTGATCCCATGAATGACACCCTCTGTGGCTGTCCGGAGAAGGCAGAGGAAAACTGGGAGGGTATGGATGGTGGGAAAGGGCTTCGCTTGATATTGGAGGGAATGAAGGAGAAATAAGCCTTAACCTTTATGGAGGCCTATTCTGTGCTAAGCCCTTTATGTGTGTTTGGGGGAGTTTCTTCTCAGCCTCTTGGTGCCTCTGTTTGCTCAGGTGTAACATGAGGATAATAGCAAACCCTATCTCCTAAGATTGCTGTGAGAACTAAAGGAGTTAATGCACGCAGAACCCCTGAAAAGCAGCTGGCACGTAGTAAGTGCTCAATAATTTTGCACTATTGGCTTGGCCTGGTGGCTGATGCCTGTAATCCCAGAACTTTGGGAGGCCGAGACAGGTGGATCACCTGAGGTCAGGAGTTCGAGACCAGCCTGGCCAACATGGGGAAACCCCATCTCTACTAAAAATACAAAAATAAGCCGGGCATGGTGACACGTGCCTGTAGTCCCAGCTACTCAGGAGGCTGAGGCAGGAGAATTGCTTGAATCTGGGAGGCGGAGGCTGCAGTGAGCTGAGATTGCTCCATTGCACTCCAGTCTGGGCAACAGAGCAAGACTCCATCTCAATAATAATAATAATTGTGCGCTATTGTTATTATTTGGTGGTAAATTCTTACACTAACCTGGCAAGTCAGATTCACACCATTTTACAGATGAGGAAACTGAGGCTCAGGAAGGGCCAGTATTGCCCATGAGGCAGGCCTCATCATTCTTATCTCCCAGAAGGCGGAACTGAGGCAGTCCTCCCCGTCTCTGGGATGTCTTGTCTGGAAAGGGGCACATAGGTACTGACCTCACAAGGTACCTTGGGAATTGGGAGAGAGCAGCTATGAGAGGCACCCAGTGTGGATCAGCAGGTAGAGGTGCCCAGTCTGGTGTTAGAAGCCCATCCTTTGGCCACAGAGGAGCTAGGTCCCAGGGCTGGCTCAGAGGAGCTCCCAATATGCCTCCCGAGTCATGAAATGATCCTAAGGAGGTAGCATGAAGCAGCCACAGCTCCCTGGGGTTTGCTGGCAATTAGGCCAGAAGCCATCAGGGAGATCCCATTGTCCCTGCCCTGGTTGGGACAGGGTTTGTGGCTGCGCCTCCCCCAGGAACCACTGCTTCCAGGCCACCTGCCCTGATGAGGTCAGTGGGAGAAGTGGCTATAACAGGTGTGGGGTGGGGGCTGTCCAGGGGAGTCAGCCACGTGGGTCTCATTTTGCAGATGAGAAAACTAAGGCTTAACGAGGAGAGATGACTTGCCCAGGTGCAGACTGTAAGCCCCGGAGGCTCTGAGAGAGCCCCAGATAAACAGCTCCTGGGCCAGGTGAGGTGGCTCACACCTGTAATCCCAGAACTTTGGGAAATCAAGGCAGGAAGATTGTTTGAGCCCAGGAGTTTGAGACCAGCATGGACAATCTGGCAAAACCCCATCTCTACAAACATTTTAAAAAAAAAATTTAGCTGGGGGCTGGGCACGGTGGCTCACGCCTGTAATCCCAGCACTTTCGGAGGCCAAGGTTGGAGGATCACCTGAAGTCAGGAGTTTGACGCCAGCCTGGCCAACATGGTGAAACCCCATCTCTGCTAAAAATATAAAAATTAGCTGGGCGTGGTGGTGGGCACCTGTAGTCCCAGCTACACTCAGGAGGCTGAGACAGGAAAATCGCTTGAACCTGGGAGGCGGAGATTGCAGTGAGCCAAGATTACGCCACTGCACTCCAGCCTGGGCGACAGAGCAGGACTCCATCACAAAACAAAACAGAAAACAGCTACTGACAGCTGCATCTATCAGGCTGGTCTGGATCCTGTGTGGCCTTGAGCGAATTATCAACCTCTCTGAGCCTCCCTTGACTCAGGTGCCATAAAGGGAATAATAATATCTACCTGGGCATGGGGGTGGACGACAAGGTGGATATGAGGATCACAGAATACCAGACACACCAGTCACTCAGAGTTGGATTTTTTTTTAATTTTTATTTTCTTACAGAGTCTCCTCTGTCGCCCATGCTGGAGTGCAACAGTGTGATCCCAGCTTACTGCAGCCTTGACCTGCTGAGCTCAGATGATTCTCCAGCCTCAGCCTCCCAGGTAGCTGGGACTACAGGCACCTACCACCACACCCAGCTAATTTTTGTATTTTTTGTAGAGATGGGGTTTCGCCATGTTACCCAGGCTGGTCTCAAATTCCTGGGCTCAAGCCATCTTCCTGCCTCGGCCTCCCAAAGCGCTGGGATTACAGCATGAGCCACCGCACCTGGCCAGAGGATGCTTGAAACAGGACAAAGCCGTGTTTGGGGGAAGGGGCTCTTCTATGTCTATACTGTGTGCCTTCCCACCTTGGCCCAGGCTGTTCCCTTGGCCTGAATGCCTTTCCTGGTCTCCTTTCCCAGGTTACCTTCTACTGAGTTTGGTCCCAGCTCACTTGTCACCTCCACTGGGAAGTTCTCACTGATGCTCCTCCATGAGGGGCCAAGCAACATCTTTACACGCCCCACCCTCAACTTCATCACAATACCCCTATCATCTACTCACATGCTGTGAGCTCCAGGGTCGGGGGAGGTTAGATAAGGCACCACACTTAATCTGGTTTGCACTGTAGCCCTGGCGTCCTGTATGGGCCTGGCACGTGGAAGGCGCTAATAAGCATTTGTTCAGTGACTGACCGCGCACTGAATGAGTGAGTAGCTGAACCAATGAATGGCACTCGCTGGCACGCCTGCCTGGCTTCCTGGCCCTCGACCTTCTTTGCAGAGAACCAGGATGCTGGCAGCTGGGGTGGATGCAGCTAAATTTGAATCCCCTGTAACAGGAGATGCCTGGATGTGAGGCCAGCCCTGGACACTAATTTGCCTTCTCTGGAATAACCTGGTCAGCTAGATGCTGCCTAGGAGAAGCCAGGGAGAAGCTGGCTCTGGGCTGCCCACCTTTAGCGCCTGTACAGGAGCTGCAGAAAAGGCTAATCTGGAATCAGCCAGGCCTGGGTTTGAATTCCAGTCTAGATGCCTTCACCACCTTGGACTATAGTTTTTCTCATCTATGAAATGAACTTACTGATATCCTGAAGCTACTCTCTGCAATTAGAAAAGGCTCTTTTGGTCGGGCACAGTGGCTCATGCCTGTAATCCCAGCACTTTCTGAGGGCGAGGCAGGTGCATCACTTGAGGTCAGGAGTTCGACACCAGCCTGGCTAACATAACAAAACCCCATCTCTACTAAAAAAAAAAAATACAAAAATTAGCCAGGTGTGGTGGTGTGTGCTTGTATTCCCAGCTACTTTGAAGGTTGAGGCAGGAGAATTGCTTCAACCTGGGAGGTGGAGATTGCAGTGAGACGAGATCATGCCACTGCACTCTAACCTGAGAGACAGAGTGAGACTCCATCTCATGAAAGAAAAAACAAAAAAAGGAAAAATAAAAAAAGAAAAGGTCCTTTGATGAGGTGAGGGCAACACACTGGTACAGTCTGTCCTACTTCCTGGCCTCCTCATCCAAGGGAGGTCCCAGGCCGCAGCTTCCAACATGCTGAGCTTCAGGGACCCCCATCATCTTCTAATCTCTTCCACACTGATGCTGACCTCTCTCTTGGAAATTCTCACTGGGAGAAGGGCTAAAAAAGCATCCGCAGCCACTTACTGAGCACCTACTATGCGCCAGGCACTGGATATTCCTACCCTCACTGGATCCTCCCCACTGCCCTCATTTTACAGATGAGGAAATTGAGGCTTAGAGAGGGAGGACAGGGGCCCCCAAGGGCGCACAGCTGGAAAGTGCTGGGCATGGGACTAGAATCTATGACCCCCTGGCTCTGAAACAGCCTCTTCTTGGGTGATGACTCATGGCCTCTGTGACTCACAGAAAACACAAACCAAAACCCACCTCCCAGTTAGGCCCTGCAGAAGGGGAAGTTATTTAGGGGAGACTGAGAGCCAGGCAAAACAACAACAACAACAAAAACAACCTTGTAGAGACCACCTTTGATGACTACTATTGCTGTCTGATTAATGGTAATAATAACCCACGTTTTGAGTGTTTCCCACCTGCCATGCCCACTGAAGTTCCTCAAGAACTCTCTTAGGACAGGTTCAAAATGTATCCCCATTTTAAAGGTGAGGAAACTGAGGCTCAGAGAGATTAAGTAATTTGCTGGAGATCACCCCGTTGGGAGAGGCAGTACTATGATTTGAACCCTAGTGACCCCAAAGTGCATGTTCCTTGGCCAGAGGTCTTTTCCACGGATGGGATCAGGAAATGTTTGTTGATTGACTGATTGACTGAAAGAATGAATGAGCAAAAGAATGATTTAATGAATGAATGGCCAGATCTAGGATGTCTATTAGGGGTGGCAGAGGAACCTCCAAGTCCAACCCAGGCCACCCCCAGACCTTCCTCCTGACCTCCCACTGGGCCTTCTATCTCTCGGCTCATCCGGGAGTGCTGGTGAGTGGCCATCTGGTGGGGTGGAGCGAGGATAGGGGCTGGACTTCCCCAGCCTCTCTCCTACTCCGAAAGGCTCACACTCTTTGTGACTTACTGTTTGACTTTACAAGCTCCTTGGCTTTTATGAGGGTTATTTATAAAGCTCTGGGCTTTGATCCTCAGCATGAAAAAAGCCAACTCCTGTGTCTGAAAATGTCACAGGGATTAGGGGAGCCTTTGAAGTCCCCTCCTGGCAGTCGGCGCCTGCCCAGCTTCCCCTCCAAAGGGGCTCCAAGCCTGGAAGCCCTGGCCAGGGCCTAGGGGCCTTCCTCTGGGGTGGAAGTGTCCTCAGTCCAGGTGAGTGACAGATGGGGGCCTCCTACCCTTGGAACACTCCTCCCAGATGGGCACACTTCCCAGACCCAGGCACAAACAGGGCCTCCCTTGTCTCCAGATGTTGACAACATCTGTCTCTCGTGTTTATGGACAGCCAGAGGCTGCATCTCGTGTCCCTGAGCCCAGCAGTAGGGACTTTGGGGGTGCTAAAAATGGATTATTACCATTTTATTGGTAGGGAAAGCGACAAGAAATATAAATAGGAAGGTAGGAGGAACAGCTCTTAGCGAGGCAGGTAGCTGGGTCTCCTGAGGCTGTCTACTTCCTTCCGTCTTCCCAACCCTGGGGTCCAACGTTCCACCCTGCAGGTAGGGAGGGACTCCTTCGTTCCGCCTCCTGTAGTCAGACAGGTCACAGCTGGAGGGGTTTGGGCTAGCTCATGGCGGTGCAGTGGGGGCAGCGGAGAGATGGACCCAAGTAGTCCAGAGAAGCAGTGGTGTTTCCTGCTCCCTGCAATGCCCCAGTGGTGCGAGACCAGAGGGGGCGACAGGATGACCTTGTCCATCTCCTCCTCCTTTTTTTTTTTTTTTTTTTGAGACAGTCTCACTCTGTTGCCCAGGCTGAAGTGCAGTGGTGCGATCTCGGCTCACTGCACCTCCACCTCCCGGGTTCAAGTGATCCTCCCGCCTCAGCCTCCCAAGTAGCTGTCATTACAAGAGTGAGCCACCATGCCTGGCTAATTTTTGTATTTATTTTATTTTATTTTATTTATTTTTTGAGATGGAGTCTCGCTCTGTTGCCCAGGCTGGAGTGCAGTGGCGTAATCTTGGCTCACTGCAGGCTCCACCTCCTGGGTTCACGCCATTCTCCTGCCTCAGCCTCCCGAGTAGCTGGGACTACAGGTGCCCGCCACCACACCTGGCTAATTTTTTGTATTTTTAGTGGAGACGGGGTTTCACCGTGTTAGCCAGGATGGTCTTGACCTCCTGACCTTGTGATCCGCCCACCTCGGCCTCCCAAAGTGCTGGGATTATAGGCGTGAGCCACCACACCTGGCTAATTTTTGTATTTTTGGTAGAGACAGGGTTTCACAATGTTGGCCAGGCTCGTCTCAAACTCTTGACCTCAAGTGATCCGCCCACCTTGGCCTCCTAAAATGCTGGGATTACAGGTGTGAACCATCACGCCTGGCCCCCCTTTTTTTGAGACAGGGTCTTGCTCTGTTGTCCAGGCTGGAGTGCAGTGGCACAATCACTGCTCACTGCAGCCTTGACCTCCTGGGTTCAAGTGATCCTCCCACCTCAGCCTCCTGAGTAGCTGGGACCACAGGCACACACCACTATGCCCAGCGAATTAAGAAAATTTTTTTTTTGTAGAGACGGCGGGGGGGTCTCACTATGTTGCCCAAGCTGGTCTTGAACATCTGGCCTCAAGGGATCCTCCTGCTTTGGCCTCCCAAAGTGCTGGGATTATAAGTGTGAGCAAGCATGCCCGGCCTCCATCTCCATTCTTACATTCACAGTGGTCCAAGTGCTTCTAGGATGTTTTTTCCTTCACTCCTTGATCTTGAAGGGCTTCCAAGCATCTCAGTAGGCCAATACAGGGGAGGAGATGAATCCTCAGTTCATCACCCTCTGAGCTGTCCTTCCCCTCTAAAACAGGGAGCCTCGTACCATGCCAGGCTGTGTGGGGATTAAACGAGGTAATTCCCTCAGAGGGGCCCGGGTTCCCTCCTGCCTCCTCTCTGGGCTCAACTTCCTTTCTCAGGACGAAGGCAAGAAAGGAGGCAAAGCTGGGGCCCCAGCAGGGAGGAAAATGTGGGGAAATGTTCTACATAGTGATTGTGTTGTTGTTTACATGACTGTATGTGTTTGTGAAAACTCATCAAACTATACACTTAAAACCAGTGAATTTTGTTGTCTGTAAATTATACTTCAAAAGCTAAAATTATAAAAGAAAATATGCAAATAGAAAACAATTAGTCACAGGCAAGCATAGAAGATAAAAAAGTAAAACTCTCTCTGACCTTCATTCCTACTCCCCAGAAGCAACAAGGCATTCATTCATTCATTCATTCATTCATCAGTTGGTCACTCGACTATTTATTGACTGTTTACTATGTGTCATACACCATGGTAGCTGCTTTTAACAATTGTGTGTATGTGTGTTAACTCTCTGTCAATGTTTTCTGGATACACCCTGTTTCTCAGAGGATGTGAGCGTACAACAATCTAATTTGCGTGTTTTTTTTTCTGCACCCGACAGCTCAGCCTAGAGGGAGTTCTGTGTGAGCACGTCCACATCTCCCTCATGCTTTTTAAAGGTGATAGAGGAGCCGATGAATGAATAGCCAAATGTATTAAACCTGTCCTCTCTTGGCAGACATTCAGGTTGCTTCTCTGTTTCCTTTTCTATCACACACACCACCGCAGTGAACATGCTTGTTCATGCAGTCACCTTCTTCATTGGGTGGGCTGATTCACATGGTTAATTCCTGTGACTTGAAGATCTTTTATATTTTACAATTGGATAAATTTCAAAATTTAAATCTCTTGCCATGCGAGGTGTGTTTCCAGTCCTGTCAGAACATGGACCCCAATCTCCACTCAGGCTGACAAGCCACACAGTCTTGTCTTGTTTCTGCCAATTCCTCCAGCTTCATCTCACTCTGCATTCCAGGCCACACCCACCTCTCTCTCTCTCCTACCACAGGGCCTTTGCACCTGCTAGGCCACCTGCCTGCAAAGCCTCTCAGCTCCTTAACCTGGCTAAACTCCCCCTCATCCTTCAGAGTTCATCCTATAAGAAGCACCCCTTCCTCAAGGGAGCCTTCCTTAGTTGCTCTGACTGGGCAGGTCTGAGCTACAGCTTTCAGAGACCCTGTTCTTGCTCCTTCAGAGCACTGATCTTCATTTGTAAAGAAATGTGGGGTGTTTTTTTTTCTTGGCTGGGAGCTTCCCACTGGACTGTGAGCTCCACAGAACAGAGATGGTTTGGACACTGAGACAAGAATTGGTGTGCAAATGATGGTTTAAGCCAGTGATCCCAAGGGAGATGAGGAAGGGTGTGGGGAAAACAGGACAGGGAAGGGAAGGAAGCCAGGCAGGGTACAACCTCAGGACAAGACTCATGGTCCCACACAGGAGCTCTGGAGTGTGAGTTACATGGCAGGGTTATCTTGGTCTGAGGCAAGAAAGCTGGGCTTTCATGCTCGCTGTCAGTCATTGACTAAGAACTGTCCTAGCAGAAAGGTGAAGGGAGAGACCCCTGGGGTCTCTGCACATGGCAGAAGAGTGGCTCCAGAAGCCCAGAGATAGTCCTTTGAGGAAGAGTCTCAAGTGCAGGCAGATGAAGGACAGCACATGGAAGCTGGCAGAGTGGTGCAGAGCAATAGACAAAAGGATCCCACAGGACCTGAGTGGGGTGTTGATAGCACCCACTGCAGAGGTTGTCTATTTTCTTCGCTTTCCCAAGCTCCTAGCATAGTGCTTGATGCAGAGCATGCACTCAAGAAAGATTTTGAATAACTCAGTCAATAAAGAATGAAGCTGAGTGTAAAGAGGGCATTCCAGAAGGAGGAATGGCATATGTGAAGGCTCATAGGTAGTACAAGGCAGGGGTGCTTGTGCCACCTCAGTGAAACCCAACTGCTACAATTTCAGGAATTTTATAAGCCAGTTGTTAAACACAGTATCTGATACCTGCTGGTGTACCGCAATTCAATCCAATTTAGATGCTGACCACCCAGAGTTAGCATCTGAGTCCTAACAATACTGCCCTCCTTTCAGATGTCAAGTGCAAGATCAGGGATCCCTAAGCCACCTGCACATATGACCAACCGGCCACAAATTCAGGAGTTTCCATGACCCCCCTCATATTTGGTAACTTGCTAGAGTGGCTCACAGAACTCAGAAAAGCACTATATTTACAATTACAGTTTTATTATAAAGGATAAAATTGGGACTGGCCAAATAAAGAGACATATAGGGTGAGGTCTGAGAGGGTCCTGACCTCAGAGCTTCTCTCCCCATGGGGTCATGGCATATCACCCTCCCAGCACATCAGTGTGCTCACCAGCCAGGATGCTCTATTGAGCTTTGGTGTCAAGAGTTTTTACTGTGGGTGCATTATGTAGACGTGATTGAATAATGGCCATATGACTGAAGCCAATCTGCAGACATCTCCCCCACCTGGAGGTTAGGGGCCTCAGAGACTTTCTAATCACATGGTTCATTTTTCTGGTGACCAACCCCATCCTGAGTCATTTCATCTCTTAGTATAAACTCAGGTGTGATCCAAAGGGCATATAAGATGGGTGCAGTAGCTCATGCCTATAATCCCAGTACTTTGGGAAGCCAAGGTGAGAGGATTGCTTGAGCCCAGGAGTTCGAGACCAGCCTAGGCAAAATAGTGAGACTCTGTCTTAACAGATAATAAAAAAATTACCTGGGTGTGGTGGTGTGTGTCTGTAGTCCTAGCTACTCGGGAGGCTGAGGCAGGAGGATCACTTGAGTCTGGGACATTGAGGCTGTAGCAAGTCGTGATCATGTCGCTGCACTCCAGCCTGGGTGACAGAGCAAGATCCCATCTCAAAACAAATAGGCCAGGCATGGTGGCTCACATCTGTAATCCCAGCACTTTGGGAGGCTGAGGGGGGGGGGGGGGGGTGGATCACTTGAAGTCAGGAGTTCGAGACCAGCCTGGCCAACATGGTGAAACCTTGTCTCTATTAAAAATATAAAAATTATCTGGGCATGGTGGTGGGCACCTGTAATCCCAGGTACTTGGGAGGCTGAGGCAGGAGAATCACTTGAACCCGGGAGGCGGAACTTGCAGTGAGCCAAGATTGTACCACTGCACTCTAGCCTGGGCAGCAGAGCAAAACTCTATCTCAAACAAACAAGCCAAAGGGCTCATAAATAACGAAGTCACTCCTATTACTCTGAGGAATTCCAAGGATTTAGAGTCTCCCTCCCAGGAATAAGAGACAAAAGCCAGTCAAATTCTTCCTTATACAACATTTGGTGATTATTAAAATTTAAATTATATAAACATATAGCTAAATACATTCATATTAAAACAGTAATAAATACTCAAAACTCATCAATCCTTAGTGCTTTACTACATCTTGCTATTATCTGTATAATATATATTCAATAGATGCAAATAATTTCTTAAGGTTATTTGCATCTGTGGAATCTATACAGTGGAGATAACCATATAATAGTATCTACCCATCTCTCCCCCTCTCTGCATTTACTAACATCATGTTGGTGGTTTGAAATTAGAGTATTTACACCACAGAAATTGGCAAGTGATACAAATGAAGGCTTAGTTTATTGTTTTGTTGATACTCCAAACTTAGAAAGTAATGCAGAAAATGACCAGGCACAGTGGCTCATGCCTGTAATCCCAGCACTTTGGGAGGCCAAGGTGGGCAGATTGCCTGAGGTCAGGAATTCGAGACCAGCCTGGCTAATATGGTGAAACCCTGTCTGTACTAAAAGTACAAAAATTAGCTGGGCATGGTGGCGCATGCCTGTAGTCCCAGCTACTTGGGAGGCTGAGGCAGGAGAATCGCTTTAACTTGGGAAACAGAGACAGAGATTGCAGTGAACTGAGATCGCACCACTGCACTCCAGCTTGGGCAACAAAGCGAGACTCTGTCTCAAATGAAAACAAAAAGGCCGGGCGTGATGGCTCACGCCTGAAATCTCAGCACTTTGGGAGGCCAAGGCAGGGGGATCACAAAGTCAGGAGATCGAGACCATCCTGGCTAACACAGTGAAACCCCGTCTTTGCTAAAAATACAAAAAATTAGCTGGGCGTGGTGGCACGCGCCTGTAGTCCCAGCTACTCCGTAGGCTGAGGCAGGAGAATTGCTTGAACCCGGGAGGTGAAGGTTGCAGTGAGCTGAGATCGCGCCACTGCACTCCAGCCTAGGCAACAAAGCGAGACTCTGCTTCAAAAAAAAAAAAAAGAAAGAAAGAAATGCAGAATATGTTAATAACACAGATTAAACTTATATGTGCTTGTAGACTTTGTTTGTTTGCTTGCTTTAGATATAGGATCTTAATCTGCCTCCCAGATTGGAGTGCAGTGGCGTGATCATAGATCACTGCAGCCTCCAACTCCTGGGCTCAAACGATCCTCCCTCCTCAGTCTTCCGAGTAGCTAGGACTTACAGGCATGTACCTCCATGCCTGGTTAATTTTTTAAATATTTTTTTGTAGAGATGGGGCCTTGCTACGTTGCCCAGGCTGGTTTCGAACTCCTGGCCTCAAGTGATCCCCGCCTCCCAAAGTGCTGGGATTACAGGTGTGAGCAACTGCACCTGGCCTGTATGTTGTGTTTATAGCCATTGCAAGTGAATAGCATAAAAAATTGAGAAAATATTCTTCCTGTACTCAAAAATTATTATGCAATTCAACAAAGAAGTTGCTCACATCACTGCTGAATGAGTGAAGTTCTGCAATACAATGTCGCTGTTTCACTTTCAGCTTACCCTTTAACACGTAAATGAAAATACCAACCAATATCCATGCCTGAACTACATTTGCTCATCAATTTTAACCATAGATTGGCTACTAATACCAGAATTTGGCAAAAATCCATGAAAGCATTTTATGAGAATCAATTGACTCTATGGAATCTACAATAAAAGGCTATTGGTATTTTACTATTGTTTTAAAATTGTGTGCTAGAGGACAGGCACCGTGGCTCACGTCTGTAATCCCAGCATTTTGGGAGGCTGAGGCAGGAGGATCATGTGAGGCCAAGAGTTCAAGCCAGCCTGGGCAACATAGTGAGACCCTGTCTCTACAAAAAAATAAAAATAAAAAATTGGTCAGGCATGGTGGCACATGCCTGTGGTCCCAGCTACTCAGGAGGCTGAAGTGGGAGGATCACTTGAGCCCAGGAGGTCGAGGCTGCAGTGAGCCATGATCGTACCACTGCACTCTAGCCTAGGCAAAAGAGGGAGGCCCTGTCTCAAAAAAAAAAAAAAAAGTGTGCTACACATCTGTCATATCAATAAAGTTTATAATAAACTTATGCACACATGCACACATATAATGCACACACCTTTTTCCCCCAGAGTGCTGAGACTAGACCACAGTCATTGGGCGGTTTGGATGGAGCAGAAGAAGCAGGGTACCTAAGGAGCTAAAACTGGAGATGAAGCTCAGAGTCTGAATGCCAGGCTCAGAGAGGGAGATAATTTGCTCTAAGACACACAGTCAGGAAGTGGCAGACCTGAGTTAATCAGAGGGTTGCTAAGCGGCTCTCCCTCTGTCCTGGGTCCTCTGCTTCCCCCTCTCTGCTAGGGCTCCAGCCCACCTGTCTTAGGGGCAAACTGGGGGTTGCTTGGGTATGGAAAGTTAGCCCAGCCCAGCACTGGAATCCCACAGCAGAGCCATTTGTCAGGTCTCTGAGTGCCAATTAGTAGGGCATGAGCCTGATTAGTCATTGTGGCATGGCAGATTTCAGGGGGTTAATCAGGCCCAAAGTGGTAGCAGGGAGTGGGAGGATGAGAGGAGAAGGAGAGAGGACAGAATGGGTGCTGAGTGGTGGTGGACCTGGGCAATCAGTCCTTATAGGTGACCATAGGGCTGGCCTGGGGAGGATGCTTCTGGGAGATGCCAGTCATGGGAGGGATTTTCTAGGGACCAGGAGGGCCTGCCCACCCTTTCCTGAAAAGATACCACTGGTTTGTAGATTACTACCATGGCTAGGAAAATGACCATAGGCCTGAGGTCTCTATGGTTCTCTACTAGGGGGCTCTGCCTCCCATGCCTGAGGGTCATGTGTTAGCGGGGGGTTGGGAGATGGGGGCCAGATGGGGTGGGAGGGGGCACTCTAGGAACAGCCGAGCAGAGTAAATGATGTCCCAATCCCTGCACCTCCTCCTTGGCCCTGGCTTATCTTGGAGAGTGTCAGGAACTGTCTTCTGCCTGCTGAGGCTGGGCTGGCTTCTCTGGGCAGGTAGGTCCCATGGGACTCCATCTTGAAAGTGTCATTGTAGAAGCTAGGCAGAGAGTCTCAGCTCATGCCAATGTGCACACCTTTTAAAAATGTGTTTCATGGCCGGGTGTGGTGGTTCATGTCTGTAATCCCAGCACTTTGGTAATCCCAGCACTTTGGAAGGTTAAAGCAGGAGGATCATCTGAGCTCAGTAGTTCGAGACCAGCTTGGGCAACATAGTGAGACCTCCATCTCTACAAAAAATTTTAAAAATTACCTGGGTGTGGTGGTGCATGCCTATAGTCCCATTTACTTAGAAGGATGAAGTGGGAGGATTGCTTGAGCCTGGGAGGTCAAAGCTGCAGTGAGCTATGATCACACCACAGCACTCCACAGCCTGGGCAACAGAGCGAGACCCTGTCTCAAAACAAAACAAACAAACAAACAAACAAACAAACCCAAAAAATGTGTTTCCACCAGAATTGCAGGGAGCCTTTCTGGGGGCTTTATTGAAATGATAAAAAATGGTGCTCACTCTGGGCTGACCCATTAGGAAAAAGCCCCATTCTGGGGACAATAATTTGTCCCCAGAAAAGAAAGGCAACTCTTTCTCTAGGCTGTTGAAGGCCCTTAGGACAAGCCTAGGCTAGTGGGCCTCGAGCCAAATTTCAGACGCATTTCACTCCCAATGCCACTCCCTCAACCAGATGTCCCTGGGCAGGGTACAACCTGAACAACGGTACCTTGCAGGCCTGTTCCCATCTTCAGGCCCCCACGGATTTCCTAGGCCCCCTGTGACACTATGGAAAGAGCACGGGCTCCGGAATCAACCAGCACTGGGCCCAAATCCCAGCACTGCCTCTAGCTCTGAGTGAGCCCTCCCACTCCCCTCTCTGGGCCTCAGTTTCCTCACCTTTAGAATGGGGATAATCATCCCAGGACTCAGGGCCAATTAAAGAAGATCACATGTGCAGACACTTGTAGCTCATTTTAAGTTCTCAATACACTATTTGGAGTTTGTTTTGAGACAGGGCCTCACTCTCACCCAGGCTGCAGTGCCGTGGTGCGGTCATAGCTCACTGCAGCCTCAAACTCCTGGGCTCAAGCAATCCTCCTGCCTCAGCCTCCTGAGAAGCTGGGACTACAGGCTCACACCACTGTGTCCAGCTAATTTTTTAATTTTGTGTAGAGACGAGGTCTTGCTTTGTTGTCCAGACTGGTCTTGAACTCTTGGCCCTAAGTGATCCTCCCACCTCAGCCTCCCAAAGCAGTGGGATTACGGGCGTGAACCACTGCGCCTGACCTCAATACACTTTTGGAGCTTTATTTCCTGGTACCAGCCCAGATCAAGGCTGCACCCTTCTAAGAACCAGGTCTGCCCATCCCCCTTGCTGTGGCAAAGGAGGAACCCAGCCAGGTTGGGGCCCGATGACGCTTGAGGCTGGCAGATGACCTGAGGACTGGGCCCGGAGTCTGGTGTTAGGGCGGCAAAGGACAGGAGGGTCAGAGCCACCCCTCAGGGCAGTGACAGCTGGCTTCTTGGGGTCCTGGGTCCCTTTGGGCACTTGATAGAAGCTATGGACTTTCTACCTAGAAAAATGCCTCTGTACACTTAATATTGCCTATTGTTTCATGGGTTCATGAGCACAGTAAAACCTAGCCATGGACCCCCAAGAAGCCCACTCTAGAAGCATCAGGCTCTGCTCTCCCACATGGGGTCCATCAGCACACTGGATTGTTCCAAGACAAGGAGAGAAAATGAAGGCAGAAAGGAGACTGGCAACTATAATACTAACCTGACTTCACATGCGTAAAGTTACCTCATCTAAGGCTCTCAGCAACCTCATGGAGCAGTGACTATTTCCGCATTCCAGATGAGGACATGGAGAACCAGAAAGGCTTGGAGACTTGTTCAAGGTCACACAGCTAACCAGCGACAGAGCCAGCACTTGAGCCTTGACGATCTGATCCAGGACTTGAGTCTTGACGATCTGATTTCAAAGCTCATTCTACTAGGTTTGGCTGAGGGCTTTTCCTGGTGGGCAGATGCCCTGGTTAGGCCTTTCCAGGGAGGAAGAAAGGAGTGAAAGACTTGGTTTCTCTGGTCCAATCCTGGATACTAGGAATGTTAACTGCCCTGTGTCCGTTGCCTCCCACACCCCCCTCTTGCTCCCAGGGCTGCTGGAGTCTTATCTGCTGCTGCTGCCGCCGCCCGAAGACACTCATCCTCCACCCTCCAGATGATCCAAGCTTGGTCCCTGGATCAAGTCAGATCAAATTATTCCTTCCCCAGGAGAACTGCTTACCCATTGTTTAAAAGCCACAAATTGTTTAAAAGCCACAAACTGATGGAGCCCTTGGTGGTTGCTGAGGGTTGACATGAGAAGGAACCACATGTAGAATGCAAAACAGCGATAAAGAAACTGAACCATGATGTTATTCAGGGTCATTCTATGTCACATGGAGGCTCCAATGGCCCAGGGGACATACCCCTCTCAGGATTCAGCATGGAGAAAAGTCTCTCTCTCTGGAAAACCTAGACTTTATTATACTTTCCTTAAACATTGATTTTGGAAGCCCGTGAGAACTAAGAAAACAAACCCATTTGCCTTTTTGCCACGGCTGCTAGGAAGCTCAGGACCAGGTTTAGACTTCAATTGCCATTATTGCCTTAACCTAGATTTTCTGATGTAATTTGTCTCTTTCTATACTGATAGGAAAAAACATTCTTTTTTTTTAATGTGGCTTTTAAACAATTTTAAGGGAATATGAGGACCTTGCAAGACTATGAAAAGCAGAGACAGGGCGGTCAGAGAATAGAGTCTTTTTTGTGCATATTCCCCATTCCCGCATCTAATAGTATAGGCCTTTTCCCTACCTCACTCCCTCTGATGTGAGAGCCTGGATACCTCTCTGCTCCCAACTCTCTTTATACTTAACTCTCTTGTATTTTATTTCTAATTTTAATGGCATAACTAGGCAGGGATTTTTAAAATGTCAACTACTTCAAATCATATTTTTGGAAGCAACACAGGTAGCTATATAAAACACTATAAACTGGGTGCGGTGGCTCATGCCTGTAATCCCAGAACTTTGGGAAGCCGAGGTGGGCAGATCACTTGAGGTCAGGAGTTTGAGACCAGCCTGGCCAACATGTTGAAACTAAATATACAAAATTACTCTACTAAAAATACAAAATTAGCCGGGCCTGGTAGTGCATGCCTGTAAATCCCAGCTACTCAGGAGGCTGAGGCACGAGAACTGCTTGAGCCTGGGAGGTGGAGGTTGCAGTGAGCTGAGATCGTGCAACTACACCCCAACCTGGGCAACAGAGAAAGACTCCGTCTCAAAAAAAAAAAAAAAGAGAGAAAGAAAGAAAGAAAGAAAGAAAGAAAGAAAGAAAGAAAGAAAGAAAGAAAAACAGAAAAAAAAGAAAAAACCTCTATAGATCTTTAAATGTATGCATACATACACACGTGCATGTGGTCTGAAGACCCCTTGGTGCTTTGTTTCCAGGGACTCTGTTCTATCTCAGCTGGGACCATTCTGCAGCCTGGTGCTGGATGAAAAGATATAGCAAGTCTTGTAATGTTGCCTCTCTCTTCTCCAGGTCACTGAAGATCTTTGTCATCTTCCCACTGACCTGGTGGGGCCCAGCAAAGGGATGAGAAGTGATGATAAGCCTAGAGACCTAGGGCCATTGTGGGGAATCCAGGGAGTAAAGAGACTTAGATCTCAGCGACAATTCCAGCTCCATCACTTTTTCCTGCTGGGGGACTTTGTCCAAGTTTCTTGACTTCTCTGGTCTTCAGTTTCTTCCTTTGAATAATGGGGAGAAATAATAATACCTACCACATAGACTGTTGTGAGGATGAAGGAGCATGCAAAGTGCCTGGCATGAGTTAGGGTATAATAAATGGTCACTATTTTCACTGCCTCTGTCAGCAGTGACCAATTATCTCGAGCCCTAACTCTGGAAACTTGTGGGTAACAGAAGTGGGGGATAGTCTTTCTACTAAAAAAGAAAAGTATCAAAACAAGAAGTCAGAGGCCAGGCACAGTGGCTCATGCCTGTAACCCCAGCACTTTGGGAGGCCGAGGCGGGCAGATCACCTGAGGTCAGGAGTTCGAGACCAGCCTGGCCAACATGGCAAAACCCCGTCTGTACTAAAAATATAAAAATGAGCCAGACCTGTAGTCTGGCTACACCTGTAGCCAGATGTACACCTGTAGTCCCAGCTACTCAGGAGGCTGAGGTAGGAGAATTGCTTGAACCTGGAAGATGGAGGTTGCAGTAAGCCGAGATCACACAACTACATTCCATTCTGAGTGACAGAGCAAGACTCCATCTCAAAACAACAACAACAACAAAAACCTGGAAGTCAACATCTACCAACCCATTCACCTTCCAATCTACCAATTCATCCATCCATCCTTCTGTCTGTCCATCCATCCATCCATTTATCTACCTGCCAACCCATCTATGTATCCACCCATCCACCTATCAACTCATTTATCCATCCATTCATTCACCACCAACCCAACTATTTATCCATTCATCCACCTACCAACCCAACTATTTATCCATTCATCCACCTACCAACTCACCCATTCATCCATCCATCTATCAACCACAAATCCTTCTGTCTGTTCATCTTTCCATGTTTCTATCTAGCCATTTACATAACCATCCACTTACCCATCCATCCATCCATCCATCCATCCATCCATCCATCCATCCATCCATCCATTCACCCTTTCACTCACCCTTCCATCCATCTATCTATCCTTCCACCTATCTAACTGCTTTTCCTTGGCACCTTCTCGGTACTAATTTCTGGAGAGGAAGAGGAGGATAAAACATAATCTTTGCTCTTAAGAGCTCCTGGTTTGATGATTTTCTCCTATGCGTCCTTTACCTGTCCCTCCTCCCCTGCCCCCAGAACAGGGTTCCAGGAAAAAAAAATGAGGGAAATGTTGCCTATTAGACCTTCCTCTAAGTGATTCACTACTCACATTATTGGCCCATTAAAAGATTTGGGCCAGGCATGGTGGCTCACACCTATAATTTCAGCTCTTTGGGAGGCCAAGACTGGATGATCAATTGGGGCCAGGAGTTCAAGACCAACAAGACCACCCGCTCATCTCTGAAAAACAAAAACAAAACAAAACAAAAAACAACTAGCTGGGGATGGTGGTGCATGCCTGTAGTCTTAGCTACTTGAGAGCTGAGGCAGGAGGATTCCTTGAGCCTGGGAGGTCAATGCTGCAGTGAGCTCTGATTGCACAACAGCACTCCAGCCTGGGCAACAGAGCAAGATTCTAGCTTCAAAAAAAAAAAAAAAAAAAGAAAATCTGACCAGTCAATGCAGTCAAGATCTCTTTCCAATCCTTTTCCACCATTACTCAAATGACTTGCCTCCAAAATCTATTTTGAGGGGATTGCCTATTAAAATGCCATGGAATAAGATTGCCTTAGAACGGATTTTTGGCAATTACTGGTGAACCAAGGAAGAAAGAGCCAAGTATCATTTAAAAAGCACACAGTGGTACTGGATCATGACTCAAAGTATAAAACAAATATCCATGAGTCCACACTAATAAAAATAAATGATTGAATAAACAAACAAGAGAACATACAAATCTTCTTTGTAGAATAATTCTGAATAATTTATGTAAATACTCTGCCCTCAAGGAGGTGCAGCGTAACTTCCCACTCCTTAAGTTTGGGATGCATTTAGTGACTTCCTTCTAAAGAGTGCAATATGGAAAGGAGGAAACACAAAAGTAACATTACAGGCTTATACTTGTAATCTCAGCCACTTTGCGAGGCTGAGGTGGGGGGATTGCTTGAGCCCGGGAGGTTGAGGCTGCCGTGAGTTGTGATCATGCCACTGCTCTCCAGAGTAATGTGACAGTGGAGAAGACTGACAAACACTAGCTCAGCCTCATGATAAAGGTTAAGATCAACAGTGATAGGTCATGTTTGGTTTTTTTTTTTTTTTTTTTTTGATCTTGGAAGGCTGCCGGGAATGGGGTTATTGGCACTAAACTCTGAAGAACTGGTAGAATTTGGATGGGGTTGGGAGCAGGGGATCACTCTTGTCACGCAGGCTAGAGTGCAGTGGTATGGTCTTGGCTCACTGTAACCTCTGCCTCCCGCGTCCAAGCAATTCTCGTGCCTCAGCCTCCTGAGTAGCTGGGATTACAGGTGTGTGCCACCACGTCCGGCTAATTTTTGTATTTTTAGTAGAGATGGGGTTTCCCTATGTTGGCCAGGCTGGTCTTGAACTCCTGATCCACCCACCTTGGCCTCCCAAAGTGCTGGGATTATAGGCGTGAGCCACCACACCTGGCCAGGTCATGTTGATAATATGTACTTTGATGTGATGAGAATGGCAACTTACCTCTGCGGTCTTCCTCCTAAAACAGATAACCGTGGTCTAATTCGAGAAAAACATCAGACAAATTCCAACTGAGGTACATTGTACAAATTATGTGACTAGTACTCTGTAGAATCCTAAAGGTCATCAAAACAAAGTTCAAGAAACAGACCCACATAACAAGAGCTGAAGAAAAAGTGACTATTAAATGTACTGTGGTATCCTGCATAGGATCGTGGTACAGGAAAAGGATATTAGGTAAAAACTAAGGAAATCTAAATAAAGTTTGGACTTGGTTAATAATAGTGTATCAATATCGGTTCATTAACTGTGACAAATGTACCATCTTCACATAAGACGTTAATAATAGGAGAAATGGTGTGGAGTATATGGGAACTCTGTACTATCTCTGAACCATCTGTAATTTTTCTGTAAATGCAAAATATAATGTTTCTAAAATAAAGAAAAACTTTTCTGTGGATCCGAAATTTAAAAATTATATTAAAAATAAGTAAATAGGCCCGATGTGGTGGCTCACGATTATAAATCCCAGCACTCTAAGAAGCTGAGGCAGGATGATTGTTTGAGACCAGCCTGGGCAACATAGTGAAACCTCTGGCTCTACAAAAAAATATAAAAATAAAAATTAGCCGGGTGTGGCGCACCTGCAGTCCCAGCTACTTGAGAAGCTGAGGTGGGAGGCTCACTTGAGCCCAGGAGGTTGAGGGTGCAGTGGACTATGATTGCACCACTGCATTCCAGCCTGGGTGACAGAATGAGACCCTGTCTCAAAAATAAATAAATAAATAAATGAGCAAGTAAATAAAGCACTGAAAAAGAAAAGTCTGGGGTTCAGGGAACAGGCTGGGTGGGGCAGTACATCCTGCTTAGAATGGAGATCTGAAATCAGAGAAGCGTAGGCCCTGCCCTTTACTCATTGTGTGACCTTGGACAAGTTGCTTAATCTGAGCTTCAATTTCCTTATATGTAAAATAGGAATTTAAAAATGCCTCGTATTTGTTGGTCTGGATTAAATGAGGCAATGTTTATAAAGTACTAGGCACCAATAAACAATCTGGGACTGTTCAATTTACTATAGTATTATTTTTGGTAAGGTAAGCAGAAGATCTTGGAAGGCTGCCAAGAATGGGGTTATTGGCACCAAACTCTGAAGAACTGGTAGAATGTGGATGGGGTTGGGAGCAGGGGATCAGCTTCCTCCAAAGCAGGTAGGTTTCTCCTTCTATCCTTTTTTTATTTCTTTTTTTTTTTTCAGACAGAGTCTTGCTCTGTCTCCCAAGCTGGAGTACAGTGGTATAGTCTCAGCTCACTGCAATCTCCACCTCCTGGGTTTGAGCCTCAGCCTCCCGAGTAGCTGGGATCACAGGTGTGCGCCACCATACCCAACTATTTTTGTATTTTTAGTAGAGATGGGGTTTGCCATGTTGTCCAGGCTGATCTCAAACTCCTGGGGTCAAGGGATCCTCCCACCTTGGTCTCCCAAAGTGCTAAGATTACAGGTGTGAGCAAGCAACTGCACCTGGCCCCTCCTTCTATCCTTGACTCCTACTTATCCTTTGGTTCCAGATCAGGCTAAGGGTCTGGGAGGAGATAGAGACCTCACAGACAGGTTCCTGGTTTCCCACCCCAGCTGTGGCCCAGGCTTGCTCTCTATCTGCCGGGGTCTCTGGGCTAAGTAATCGTTAATTCCTTCCTGATGAAGCACCTGTATCCGTAAGCAAATGAGCTGGCAGGTGGTGGCCCGGATAAAATATGACCTGCTCAGCGGGGGATTTGCTTACCAGTCGGGAAGCAGCCTATCCTGCTGCCTGCAGCCTGGAGGCCTCCCAGATAAAGCATAAATCACTGGTGCCCACTGGGCAGGTGGGAGGGCAGGAAGCACCCGGAAGAATGAATGCTCTCCTGCTCAGTCTCCAGACGCAGCCCTATGGACACCTTTCTCAGTGGCTTGTGGGAAAACAACAGGACTGAGAATTAGGACACAAGGGGAATTCATCCTGGCTCCACCACAGACTTACTGTGGAGCTTTGAGGAAGTTCCTTTCCCCCTCTGGACCTTAGTATTCAACTCTCTCAAATAGGACTACTTGTTCCTTTTTCTTCATAGGTTTGTTACAAAGAATCATAGGATAAACTGTATGGAAACATTTAACAATTGTTATTATCTCAATTATTACCATATTGTTACTATGTTGCTCCCATGGAAGCCCCATTAAGTAGAGCTCAGGGGCTGGTGACTTTCCAGTGGGCTGGCAGCTTTAGACAATTACCCTCAAGGCTATAGATTCTATTGTCAGAAAACGGATCAAAGAATTTTCCAAAGAAGCCACATGATATATGGAAAAGCCCAGGTTCTGAAGGCATCAAACCTTGGTTTGAATCCTACACCTGCCACTTATTAGCTGAAGGGACTTGGACAAGCGACCTTTCCCCTCTGAGCCTCAGTAAAGCAAGGTGAATATAATTGTTTAGCTGTTGTTATGAGGTTTAAATAAGATTACATTCTAGAACACCTGGCACATAAGTAGCTGCCTGATAAAGGTTAGTTTGTCCCCCACAGAAAGTTTGCTGCTGAACTAGGTTTACAAATCAGATTTCCTAACTTTTTACTCAGCTTTTTGCTGAGACCTCAGAAAGCCTTGGAGAACCGCCAGGTCTCTGTTAGTTGAATCATTGCCCCCACCCCTAGTCCCCCACCAGGAGGCTTATGCAGCCTGGACCTGGAAGAAGACCCCTTGGGAAGTGCTCTATCCCGGGGGCTGCGGGGACTGCCTGATGAAGACAGAGCCATTTGCTAATACCATGTGGCTGCTGTGACAGTCTGTTAATGCCATTTACAACGTGCTGTAATTATGTCTCACACATGCTGGCGGCCCAGCCAGCAGGAACGTTCCCTGGGAGGGGCCTAGGAAAGATTCCTTTAGCAGGACTGGGGGCTGGTCTTCCTTAGAAGTCTGCGGACCTGGGGGGCTGGCAGCCACTGTGAAGGAGAAAAAATTCTTCCCCTTGATCTAGCAGAACCCATCGAGGAGAGTGTCATGCACATCAATGTCTTCATGAAGGCCCCTGGGGTTGTGCACTGCACAGCCTGCCCAGCCCTACTTGGCTGCTCTAGGCATCTGAGAAAGAGTTCATCCCTGCTTGGACCTGGGGTTTCCACCCTGAATTGCTGTGGAACTTTGCACAAGCCATGGCCCCTACCTGGGCCTCAGTATTCCCTTCTATAAAATAGGGATACGGGGAAAGATGAGAGAAATGTGCTAGAGCAGTTCTTACCATTTTCTGTAGCATCTTCCTAGAAAAATGCACATACATCCAATCAAAATGTAGCGTGATTCTCAGGGGGCTCATGGGCCACCAAAGTCCATCATGAAGCTCCAAGGACCCCAGGTCAAGAATCTTAGTCTAGATAATTTTATGGCATTATTACCAATATGTTTCAGCCTATTTCTTCATCTGGATTCTGAGGTTGCTGTTTGCCAGATGTTGCTGCCATGTTGTTTGGGACATAGGTATTCACGACAGTTATCTGTTCATCCTGGATTGGGCTCCTTATCATAAAGTTCCCAGGTTTGTCTCTAATGCTTTTTGCCCTGGATTTTATGGGCCAGCTAATTTCTGGCCCATTAAACTGGGCTGTCCCAAACTCTGGCATTCCAGGATCCTTGATAATTGGTGATAGTCAAGATTCTTGAGGTCTGGTCAAAACAGCCCAGCTTGGGAATCAGAGAGATCTAAGGAAGACTCTCTCTATACTTCCTTGTTGGCAAGCCACTCAGCTTCCCTGAGCCTCAACTTTCCCTTCTAGGAAATGTGTTGCCATTAGGGTTGGGTGCATGGATGTCCCTCAGGTGCCTAGCACAGAGTAAGCACTCAACACCTGCTAATTTTTCTGCCACCCTCACCACCCCCTTCACCCCCCTTCACACTGAGCTCACATTTTTCTTTCCCTTTCCTGGAAGGAGCTGAAAAGGAGTCTTGGGGAAAAGCTCTCAGGAATGGGGAAGCCTATTTCCAAGTCATTAGTCCCCCAGTGTCGGGCTGCAGGATGGATTTTGATCAAGAGCAGGGTGACATTTGGCAAAAGTTGCTGATGAGGGATTGAATGATTAATCGTCATGACAACCGGGCTGGAGTAATGACAGGGATGCAATGGCGCCCGAGTTAAATACAAAGCGGCCCTGCGAGCCGGGGCGGTAAATTACTAGGCATGTCACTGCTGTGCTTTTGGAGAAAGCGGCCGTGCGTTCCTAATGAGAGGTTAACTGTGTCCCCAAAGTAATTACAGCCGATTGAAGAGGTGGCTGGTAATTAGAGGATTAGCAGTGATGAGGCTCACCTGCATGGTTGCCATAGTGATGGAGAGTGGGTGGGGTGGGGATGCAAGGAGGGTCCAGACCTTTCCCCAAGGCAGGTGGCAGAGGCCTCTCTGATTGCATCAGCCTTGGTGTCTGCCACTGATGGGACAGGCCCTGGAGAACTAGTGGGCAAGCTCTAAGGCTCTGCCTCAATGGCTGGACCTCAGTCTCCCAATCTGTAAAAAAAGGGCTTGAACCCACTCAAGAACATGGAATAGCAAAGCTGGAAATCTGGAATGTGCCGGCAGAATCCAAATAGTCTTAATTTGCTATGCTCCCCCAAGCCTGACATTGCTGGGACCCAGGAAATCACACACAAATTCCACATCTTGGCTAAGTGACTCAGGTCAAGGATCTGGGTGTGAGTTCCATTTCTTCACCTCTAAAATGGGGATGATAATGGTTCCCACTTCAAAGTGTTGTTTGGAGAATAAAATGAAATCACAAGTGCAGAGCACCTAGGATAGCTCTTACCCCACTGCAAGAGCTCTGGAAATATTAGTGGCTACAATCACCTGTACAATGACCTCCCTTTCTCCTCCACGGACCTGCCGTAGCTGGGAGCAGGGAGGGGACTGGAACTCAGTCTTTTCTTGGGGAATGAGCTGAGCCCTCTACCATGCATGATAGATGACAGGGAACTCCAGGGGAAGGAAGTAGGCACCACTTTTTGCTCACTTGCTGTGTTTCCTCATTTGAGTCTCCTTGCCTCTCTGAGCCTTCTAGTCCTGCCTGAGAACTCTGTTGGGTGAAAGAAATGACATGCTGGATTTGTAGAGCACTTACAAGATGCCTGATCCTCACTAGGCACTTCATAGCTATGATTTAACTCGATCCTCCACATAACTCATACAACACTAAACACTATTTTGCCTCTTTTTTTTTTTTTTTTTTTTTTTTTTTTTTCAGAGACAGGGTCTCACTCTGTCTGCCAGGCTGGAGTGCAGCGGTGCAATCATAGCTCACTGTAACCTGGAACTCCTGGGCTCAAGCAATCCTACTGCCTCAGCCTCCAGAGTAGCTGGGACTATAGGTGTGCACCACCACACCGGCTACTTTTTAAATGTTTTTTGTAGAGATGAAGTCTCACTGTGTTGTCCAGGTTGGACTCAAACGCTTGGCCTAGAGCAATCCTACCTCCTCCCCAAATACAATGATTACATGCATGGGCCACTGTGCCTGGTCTATTTTGCCCATTTTTGAGAGGTGGCTCAGAGAGGTGAAGTGACTGGCCCAGAGGCACACAGCTGGAGCATGAGAGAGCCAAGATTTGAACCCAGGGTGGTCTAAATGCTTCACACTTTCTACCATACCAGGGGCCTCTTTTTGTTCTAGGAAGCCAGGTCCACCACGTCTATCTAAGGAGGTGGGCAACCCCTCCATGGGCAGAGTTTGAGAGAGGGGTCTCCCTGGGATTGGTCAGGGTTTTTATGACCTCATGCAGCCCGGGAGGTCTGTACTGACTGAGTAGGTGGCTGTTCTGGCCGCTGGTGGAGTCTCCTCAGTGTCTGGTGTGAGATGCTGGGGTTTCGGGGGATGACAGTGAAATCCCCCAAGGGGTCCCTGACTTGGTTGCTGGCGATGCCTGGAGTCCAGGCACAGCCCTCGGCAAAGCCACCAAAAGCAGTGGCTTAATTATTCCATCCATAAATGATAAGCCCTGTTCATTTCCAGTCTTCATGACAAATTTATGGCCTTATTTAATGTGCTCACTGCCCGACCTTCCCTGGCATCACAAGAAAACGGGGGCCCCTTTCTGGAGGGCGCAGTGGGTGGTTCTTGCTACTGCAGCCTCTAGGCCAGGCACCTCTTCCTACTCCCCCACCCCCCAAACCCAGGAGCAATCAAGGCCTCTGATCCCAGGTCGGCCCTGCCTGTTGCAGTTTGCAAACCCATTTTCTCTGCTTGACTTCACTGGGGAGACATTGGAGCATCAAAGTTAAAGGCAGAGACTCTGGAGTCAAGAGGACCCAGGTTCAAGTTCCAACTCTGTTATTTCTGACCTGTGTGTCCTTGAACGCGTTCCTTGCCTCAGGTTCCTACACATGAGGATGAGATGAAACAGGTGGGAAGTGCTTCTATGTAGTGAGTACTCAACACAGGGTAGTGCCTATTCCTGTTATGGGGTCTTCACGTACAATGTATTTGATTTGTGTCTGTGTGTGTGGTGGGGAGCACTGCTTAGGGCTTGGTGACCCTGAGATGGGTCACATCTTGAAGTAGGACACTCAGACTAAGCCAACACGCCCAGCTTCTTCTCTGCACAGAGAAGGCTGCAAAAATGCTGGCTGCAGGCCAGGTGCAGTGGCTTGTGCTTGTAATCCCAGCACTTTGGGAAGCTGAGGCAGGTGGATCACCTGAGGTCAGGAGATTAAGACCATCTTGGCCAACATGGTGAAACCCCATCTCTACTAAAAATACAAAAAAAAAAAAAAAAAAAAAAAAAAGCTGGGCGTGGTCGCATGCACCTGTAGTTCCAGCTACTCAGGAGGCTGAGGCAGGAGAATCGCTTGAACCCAGGAGGCAGAGGATGCAGTGAGCCGAGATCGCGCCACTGCACTCCAGCGTGGGTGACAGAGTGAGACTCTGTCTCAAAAAAAAAAAAGTGCTGCCTGCAGAAGCCCAGCCCGGGGTAACCAGTAGTCTAGGTTCCAATGTCCGTCCCACCTCCAGCTCTGGGCTGGCCTTGGTGACTCTTGCCTCACCCAGGGCCTCAGTTTCCTCATCTGTCACTGGGTCCACCAGCATAACTCTTAGAGTTGCCACAGGCCAGAGATTCCAGCATAGGAAAAGAATGGCAGAATCAACTTTTGGGAGCCAGTTTCTGGAAACTACACAAGGGCCCTCCAGTCTAGATGGCTGACAAACTCTAAGGGATTGGGGGACGAAAACCACAGACTCACAGGACCTTGGAGTTGGTGGGGGTCTCAGAGAGCACTCCTTCCAGCCTGAGACTTCGCAAATGAAGAAGCTCATCATAGCTGCCACGTATTAAGTGCTTACTGTATACTAAGCACCATGATCAGAATTACCGGTCATTGTCTATTCAGTCCTCAACACAATTAAACATGGGCCAGGTGCAGCTCATCGTATTTAACAAACAAAGAAAATGGAGGCTCAGAGAGGTATGGAGACTCAGGCAAGGTCACATAGCACCATCTCCTCCAAGTCCTGGCACTTCCGGTGTGGCTGCATCATGTGTGTTTGCATATTCACACATGCATTCCCTTGTAGGCACATGTCTGTGTGAAGGTGCCCCTATAAGGATGTGGGTGCCCATGCACATGTGAGCATATAATTTGCATACTCATTTGCATGACAGTGTAGTCACTCCCCTCCACAAACAGCCCCCAGCAGGGCCCAGCCTGGCCAGGGAATATACATGCTCATCCCTACACTGCCTATCCATCCCTCCACCAGTAGCCATCCATTGGTGGTTGTTTCTTAAGGTAATTTCTATCATTACCCCATGGCCTAGATCATGAAACTGAGTCTTAGAACTGCAGGGCCAGGGTCATGCTGCTGGCAAGTGGCAGAGCCATGGTCTGATTCTTAGTCTGGGGACTCCAACTCCAGTGCTCTTTCTATAGTTCCGTCTGGTCTGAAGCCTTGAGGTAGACACAGAGGGGTGAACAGACAGGAGGGGCTTCAGAAGAGGCTGTGGAGCTTGACCTCAGGAGGGGTTGAAGAAATGAAGAAGCAGAAATGTTGGGGAAGGGACAGTGGGACTGTGTACCTGAACTTGGAAGGGTGTGTTTAACCATCCCTTCAACAAAATGACTCAGAGTCTACTATGTTTCAGGAACATAAGCAATAAAATTAATAACGACATTGCAAATACATATCCAGTGCTTACCACGCATTAGGCAAGGGTGTTTCATTAGCTCACTACTTCCTCACAACAATCTTATGAGATGAATAAGGTTATCATCCTCATTTTACATAGAGGGAAACAGAGCACAAAGAGGTGAAGTAACTTGCTTAAGATCACACAGCTGGTAAGTGGCAGAGTTGGGATTCAAATGCTAACCATCTGGGCCCATGGTTCATGGACTTGACCATCACCACTCTGGCTGGGAGACCATGGCAAGCTGCTGTGTTGTTCTCAACATGGTCGGTGCATGTGATGGTGTGTGTGCATGCTGTATGTGTGTGCACATGTACACATGAGTTTGCATGCACATGCATATGCATTTCATGTAGGTGCATGTTTGTGTGAGGGTGCGTAAGGGTAGATAAGGAGGTAGGTATGTATATACATAGGTGTGAGTGTGTGAGTATGCAATTACCGTGCCTGCCACATACGTACATCTGAGTGTGCATGCACAGGTCTGTAAGAGGTTGGGAAATCTCATCTCAGGTAGCCCCATGCCATTTGGTCCAAGAGAGCCCCATGAAGGTCAGGGTTACACAAGGAGCAGGTAAATGGTGCTTGGAGTAGCTAGAGCCTAAGAACTAATATTCCCTGGATCGGGGGGAAGGTGGCTCCCCAGCTGCACATACCCGTCACCCTGGCCTCCAGGAAACATTAATAATAGATCAGCAAATTCCAAATGTAAATAGGGCAATCAGGCCCGAAAACACAGACATTCATCACCCAGATACAAATTATGCTTCTGGCCTTGATGTAATTACCGGAGTTCAGCTCAATGCATCGAGCCACCCCCACCCTGCACTCCTGCACGTTGCTTTGTGCTGGTGTCCTCCCCTGAGGAGGCCCCACCATCTGACTCTACAGCATCTCTCTGACCACAGTCAAGGGTCCCCAGCCATCTTAAACAGCTACAAAGACAGAAGACCCCTGAGATGCTTGTGCATTGATGGCAGAGCTCCAAAGGTCACTGGGCAGACACCAGACAATGAGTGAGGTGCCTGGCTCTGACTCCAGCTTTGCAATGCCTTGAGATGTGACCCTAAGCAAGTCACTCACCCTTTCTGAGTCTCAGTTTCCTCTTCTATCACAAGGAAATAGCAAGACAGTGTGGTATTAGAGTCTCCGGGCTTTGTATTCAGAAGGACCCGGGTTTGAATCACAACCTTACCATTTTTGAGTTCGGAGACCTTGGGCAAGTTTCTTTCCCATTCTGAGCCTCAATTTTTTCACCTGTAAAGTGGATATAATAATGTTTATCTCCTGGGGTTATTGTGAGGAAAGAATGAAATAATATTTTTTAATTGATGAATTTAACTCATTCACATTTATTGTGATTATATTGTTATAATATCATATATAAAATATATATCAATATATCAAAATATCTGTATCCATATCTACATTCATATATATCTATGACCATATTTATCTCTATCTATCTATCTTTTTTAACAATTTATTTTTAGTAGAGATGGGGTCTTGCTATATTGCCCAGGCTGGTCTTGAACTCCTGGCCTCAACTGATCCTCTTGCCTTGGCCTGTCAAACTGTCGGGATTACAGGTATGAGCCACTGCACCTTGCCTCAATCTATCTTTTATATGTATATATCTATTAAATAATTACATAACTATATGGCTGGACTCTTTCTTGCCATATTTATTTGTGTTTCCTACTTATCAGGCTTCCTTGTATTTCCTTCTTTTCCATGGCTATTGTATTAGTTACCTATTATTCTAAAATGCAGTGAGTTAACACAATAAATATTTAGCATTCATAGTTTCTGTGAGTCAGGAACCTGGGAGTGGCATAGCTGGATGGCTTTTGTTTGGTATCCCTCGTGAAGTTGCAGTTATGATGTCGGCCAGGACTGCAGCCATCTGAAGGCTTGACTGAGCTGGGGGATCCAATCCTCAAGGTGGCTCCTCAGTTCATCCCCACGTGGATCTCCCCACAGGGCTGCCTGAGTGTCCTCATGATATGGTGGCTGGCTTCCCCTGGAGCAAATGATCTAAGAGAACAAGACAGAGGCTGCGGTGTCTGTAATGACTTAGCCTTGGAAGTCACAAGCTATCACTTCTGGACTTAGAGCCTGGCTAGCATACCTGTCTTATGTTGAACAATAATGTATGTAAATCACCTGGCCCAGGCATTGGGAGAAATTCATTAATCCCTGTGACCCCAGTGCCCAACACAGTTCTGGCACAAAGAAGGCATCAATAATGAACTAGCAAGAAGAGGAATGGTTATAGCAAAATCTGGTCTCTTCTCCCCAGTGCCATTTCCTAGAGCCCAGTGGGCCAGTAGCTACTCGCAAGCCTGTTTTACTAATTCTTGCTGCTACTCAGGCCTCGGCTCAGGAGCTCTTGCCTTCTTGGAGGCAGAGAGGAAAGTCTAGACCAGAGGCATTTTCCAAGCCTGTCTCTTCCTAACTTTACGTTGATCAGTAATTAAACGCAGCCTCCAATTACTATAACGTTTGGCGAGGCACCAAGCTCATGTAAAACCTTGCAGTAAACATCTGCTTTATAAATTGCCTCTCGGTGCAGTGCACCAGCGGAGTTCTGGGGGTTGGGGAGAGAGAGAAGCAGAGAGCTGGGAAAGGGAGGAGAGGTTAGGGAGGGAGAGAGACAAAGGAGAGGTGAGGGGAGGAGAAGGAGGGTGGGGCGCTGGGCGGGGGAGGCTGTCCTTCCCAGAAGTCGTGAGATGTGAAGAACCCGTTCATTCCTCACTGAGCCCTCCCCACCCTCCAAGGTGGAGGCCCAGAATGGAACTTAGGGCTGGGGAGTCCTTGTCTCTTTGGGGCTTTTGTCAAGAGCTGCACGCAAATTGAACACAAATTACTTTTGTGTTGCTTTTTATTTTTCCAAAACCCATAACATCCCACTCACCTGCCATTTACATTTAGAAGGAGAAATGTGGAGATTAATTGGCTAGAGCAGCAGCCCCTATAGGAAGTGAGATTTTCCCCAGGCTGCAGAGAAAGAGAGGCGGGGGGCTATGCCTTTCTACGATGGGCCTGGAGGCTTCTCCTGCTACCGCACACACTGTCCCCTGAACCAGAAATGAGCCTGTGTACCACACTCTGTCTCCTTCAGGTTCTTGCTCAGGGAGGCCACAGGTGAGGGGAAGCCCCAGGACTGGAGATCAGATGGAACCGGGCTGAGGGCCAGCTCAGCTCTTGTGGGTCTTTGGGCAAGTGACTTTGCCTCTCTGGACCTCTGTTTCTGCACCTGTGAAGTGGGCATAAAAGCACCCTTGGAGGTTTTGGGAGGATTATGGGAGTCACAGAATGCTGGGTAGCAGAGTAGGGAGGGCAGGAGCTTTGAAGCCAGGCAGGCCTGCTAATTGGAAGAGACATTCTGCCTCTCTGAGCCCCAGGTTTCTTATCTGAAATAAAAAGAGGGTCACCTCAATCGCCTTACAGAAGTTCTATGAGGCTTAAACCAGGCATGGACTGAATACATGCCAGCTATTATTGTCATTACTATCAGACACACAGAAAATGCTCAACAGATAGAGATGTTCTGTTCCATGGAGCTAGGACCTTCCAGGGCCTACTGGACGCTCCTTGAAGGCCAATGTTCTACCCCTTGACGGATGCTTTCTTTCCGGGCACCTGATCTAGGCTTTCTGGTGAAGACAATTTGATTGATCTGCTGTTCCTGCTGCTGGTACCACCGTCTGCTCTCCAACTTGCCTGTTTGTTCACCTGGGGATAGAGGAGGTTAAGGTCTTCCGCTGTGCATACGTGGAGGGAAGGTGTTGGTGAGTGAGTAGGGGAGGGCGATCTGCTTCCAAACTGCCTACCTATCCCCACCTTCCCACCCGACCCCTCTCCCCGACCCAGGGCAGCTGAAATGAAATGAGCTCACATGTGTTACATGCTTAGTTTGTCACTTTTTTTTTTTTTTGAGACAGAGTGTCACTCTGTTGCTCAGGCTGCAGTGCAGTGGCGCAATCTCGGCTCACTGCAACCTCCACCTTCCAGGTTCATGCGATTCTCGGTCTCAGCCTCCTGAGTAGCTGGGACTACAGGCAGCCGCCACCATGCCTGGCTAATTTTTGTATTTTTAGTAGATAGGTGGTTTCACCATGTTGGTTGGGCTTGTCTTGAACTCCTGACCTCAAGTGATCCACCCGCGTGGGCCTCCCAAAGTGCTGGGATTACAGGTGTGAGCCACCACACCCGGCTTAGCTGGTCACTTTTAATACTGCTGTTATGATCTGAAACCCTACCTTGGTGGGAGGTGTTGGGGGGTGTGTCTTTCTTCCTTGTTCTGTTCACACCAGCAGGTAAGATGTGTAGCAAGGCAGGTGGGGCTGCCTTTCCTCTCTACTCCCAGGTAAGCTGCAGTGGTGTCTGAGGGGCCACCATCAGAAACCCAGTCCTTAGCATGAAGCATGCACGCTTGATCCTCTTTAAAAATGAAAACAGCCCACAGAAGGCTGGTGGAAGGAATCTTTCTCTCTCTCTCATTTTTTTTTTTTTTGAGACGGGGTCTCACTCTGTCACCCAGGTTGGGGTACAGGGGCGTGATCTTGGCTCACTGCCACTTCTGCCTCCCAGGCTCAAGAGAACCTTCTACCTCAGCCTCCCAAGTAGCTGGGACTACAGGTGTGGACCACCATGCCAGGCTAAATTTTAAAATTTCTGTAGAGACAGGGTCTCACTATGTTGCCCAGGCTGGTCTTGAACTGGGCTCAGGTGACCCTCCTGCCTCAGCCTCCTGAGTAGCTGAGACCACAGGCATGTGCCATCAGGCTCAGCTAATTTTTAAAATGCCACCATTGTCCAGCTAATTGTTATTAATTTTTTTTTTTTTTGTATTTTTGGTAGAGACAGGGTTTCATCATGTTGCCCAGGCTGGTCTCGAACTCCTGAGCTCAGGTTATCCACCTGCCTCGGCCTCCAAAAGTGCCGGGATTACAGGCATGAGCCACTGCGCCCGGCTGAGTCTTTCTTACCTTTGCAAGAAATTACTTGTGAAATTACCTAATCTGAGAGTTAGAGGGGACGTTCAGCCTAGTGCCTGCCTCCTTGTAAGAACTCTGGAGGCTGGGCATGGTAATCCAGTAATCCAGCACTTTGCAGGGCCGAGGTGGGAGGATAGCTTGAAGCCAGGAGTTCAAGACTAGCCTGGGCAATAAAGTGAGACACTGTCTCTACAAAAATTAAAAAAACTAGCTGGGTGTGGTGGCATGCACCTGTTGTTGGGAGGATCCCTTGAGCCCAGCAGATTGAGGCTGCAGTGACCTATGAAGGCATCACTACACTCCAGCCCAGGTGACAGAGTAAGTGAGACCTTGACTCTTAACAAAACAAAAAATGAACTCAGTAAACGTTTGTTGAATGAATGAATGTGTGAATGAAGTCTTCCTTCCATCTGGTGCTGGCATCCCTATTATGATGCTCACGGCACGACAATCAGCCTAATTATGAACACTTTCTTGACAAAGGAAGCTCTTACCTGGAGGGCAGCCTGGTCCACTCTAGACAGCTTCATGCACTGGAACATGTTCTGCATGTTGAGCTCAAAATCACTTTCCTAAAACGTCTCTAGAGGTTCCTTTGTCCCTGCAGCACGGCTCTGAGGTCACTATCCAGAAAATCCTAAATCACAGAGAAGCAGTGGCAAATAAGTTTTATAAAAGCATGCCCTGCCATCTCAGGATGTTTGCCAATGAAACCGACATAGCAGGTGAAGTTTTATTCCGGTAAACCTGTCAGCCCGAGGCAGCACACAGGTGCTCCGATGAGTTAGAATGTGGCAGAATAAGAACACGAGTTCACCCAAACCGGGTGTCAGGCACTGTCTAAATGCTTTCACGTGTATCATGTATTCACTCATCTCCTATTCCCAACCCTCCTGTGAGGTGGGTGCTAGTACACTGAGACTCAGAGAGGTCAAGTGGCTTGCCCCAGATTCCGCAGCTGGGGTGTATTTGAGCTCTGACTGTCTTGCTCCAGCGTTTGGGCACCCAAGTCCTACATTAAACCACAAACAATTTGCAACCTCTTACCTGTGAATCCAGATCTCCCTGATAGTGGAACCATCAGGCAACCAAAACCAAATACAGAAATAAGTTGCATGTAAAATGAGAAATGTTTCAGATGATGGATATGCTAATAACCCTGATATCTGATCACTATACATTATATGTATAGAAACATCATGATATGTACAATTATTATGTGTCAATTGAAAAACTAAACTAAAATAAAAAAATAAGTTAATACTAAAAAAAAGAAGAAGAAATTGAATGCAAGGATGATAAAAGAGAGCAGCTGTCATCCCTAACTCCTGATTTCAAATGTTAATGTCTATCAAAGCACCTTCATTGTTTTTTCCTAACTGGCTTTATGAATAAATGTATTATATCATTTAGCTCTTCTTTGGTTGCAAGTGACAGAAAACCCAACTGACTAGAGCATAATGGCTCCTGCAAGAAAAAACTCCAGAGGATAGTGCTGGCTTCAGGCACAGTGCGATTCAGGGGCTTTCCTCCTTGTCACCAGGGCCCATTTTTCCCCGTCTCCCTGGTTCACCTTTCCCAGCATTGGCCTCATTCGTAGGCTCTGAGGATGGCCTCTGGCAGCTCTAGGCTTACCCCTTCCCCATCCCAGGCTCAAATCCAGGAAGCAAAGGACCTTCCTGGACGGGCATGGTGGCTCATATCTGTAATCCCAGCACTTTGGGAGGCCGAGGAGGGCAGATCATGAGGTCAGGAGTTCGAGACCAGCCTGGCCAATATGGTGAAACCCTGTCTCTACTAAACAAATAAAAAAATTAGCCGGGAGTGGTGGCACACACCTGTAGTCCCAGCTACTCGGGAGGCTGAGGCAGGAGAATCGCTTGAACCCAGGAGGCAGAGGTTGCAGTAAGCCAAGATTGCGCCACTGCACTCCAGCCCAGGTGACAGAGGGAGACTCTGTCTCAAAAAAAAAAAAAAAAAAAAAAAGGAAAGGACCTTCCCTCTCTTCACACTTTGCATGGAAGTGACAAGACTGACTGGCCCTAACTGGTCATTCTGGTCCCTGAACCTTTCTTTCCCTGTGTCCAGAGGATGCTTTAGGCATCAGGTCCACGCCCACCTCTGATGCTGTGGAGGGGCTTGAGAGTTGGGGGAGGGACATTTCCCCCAAAAGGAAGACCAGGGTATTGTCACCAAAAGAAGGGGACAGGATACAGGACAAACATAAGGCTGCAAACATCCACTCAGTATGGGTGTCACACTTTAAATGCTGACACAATCTTCTTCCTGTGTTATACATTCTGGGCTTCCCCCTAAGATTTCATTTGTAACTGAATTACATTCCTAAAAACAGTTTGTGAGCCACTGGTCTACAACATTTTAAGTAGCTTTATAGAGTCTGTCACAGGGATGGGCATTAACTCACCAACTGGGATGGTGTACAAGAGCTTGCCATCTCCCTTGATGGGGTATAATAATCATAATGATAAAGCTGACATTCACTGCAATGCACACTTGCTCCATACATTCTCTCTCTCTCTCTCTCTCTCTCTCTCTCTTTCTCTCTCCCTTTTGAAATGAAGTTTTCTCAGTTGCCTAGGCTGGAATGCAGTGGTGTGATCAGAGCTCACTGCAGCCTTGAACTCCTGGGCTCAAGTGATCCTCTCACCTCAGCCTTCCAAGCAGCTAGGACTACAGGCATGCACTACCATGCCTGGCTAATTCTTTATTATTATTATTATTATTATTTGTAGAGATGAGAGCTCACTATGTTGCCCAGGCTGGTCTTGAACTTCTGGCCTCAAGAGATCTTTCCACCTTGGCCTCCCAAAGTGCTGCGATAATAGGCATGAGTCACAGCACCTGGCCTGTACATTCTGTTAATATCCAAAATTGCTGCAGAGGAAATTGATACTCAGAGAGGCTGAGCCAACCAGGTGGTAAAGGAAAGGTTGAGAACAAGAACGAGATCTGCTTGACATCAAAGCCAACATATTTTTGTTAAAAAAGAAATTGTATTATATGGCCGAGCGCAGTGGCTCACGCCTGTAATCCCAGCACTTTGGGAGGCTGAGGCAGGTGGATCACCTGAGGTCAGAAGTTCAAGATCAGCCTGGCCAACATGGTGAAACCCACAAAAATTAACCGGGCTTGGTGGCGTGCGCCTGTAATTCCAGCTACTCAGGAGGCTGAGACAGGAGAATCGCTTGAACCCAGGAGGCAGAGGTTGCAATGAGCCGAGATCGTGCCACTGTGCTCCAGCTTGGGTGACAGAGCAAGACTCCATCTCAAAAAAAAATTGTATTATATTTTTATATTTATAGACATAATGGTTGTAAAAAATTCAAACAATAGAGAAGGATATAAAGGAAAAAAATAAAACACTCCCTCCTCTCAAGTTAACATTTTAAAAGATTTAAACTTCTAAGTTATAAAAGTAATATTGAGCCTGGGCAACATAGTGAGGCTTCATTGTTACAAAAAATAAATAAATGAGCCGGGCATGGTGGCAAGTGCCTGGAGCTCCCACTACTTGGGAGGCTGAGGCTGGAGGATTGCTTGAGTCCTGGAGGTTGAGGCTGCAGTGAGCTATGATGGTGTCACTGCACTCCAGCCTGGGTGGCAGAGTGAGACCCTGTCTTTAAAAAAAAAGTATAAAAACAAACAAAAAGAATAAAAATAAGTAATACTGTACACAGTAAAAACTAACACAAAAGTAAATGAAACAAAGGTCAAAAGTTGTTCCCCATCCCCAGTTCTGCCATCTCACTCCCCAGAGAGTAGCCGTGTGAATAGATTTTTGTGTAACTCTCTCCACATACTTCTATGTGCATATCAAGCAAATACATGCTTCCTTTTACATAAATGGTACCATGCTATAAATTGTCCTATAATGTGCTTGTTCCACTTAGTCATATTTCATGCACATGCTTCTCTATTGGTCCACATGGAACAACTGTATTCTTTTTCCTCAATGTATAGTACTCCATTCAAATGGCCATATTATAATTTATACTTAAGCAGTCCCCTATTGATGGATACTTAGGTTGTTTCCAGTTTTGTTCTTTTTTTGTTTTCTAAAGGTTGCCGTAACCAGCCCTGTACTTTTCTCTTTGCCTGTTTGGATATGTGGAGCCAGCTTCTATGCTGTGCCCACCTTACTCCCCTGCTAGGTTTGGCTTTCCTGCCAATCTCTGCTTTGGGAATGCCCCTGGGGCCTGACTGCTTGTGGGGGGGCATGAAAGGGACTCCCCTCCTCATGTTCTAGCCTCTGTTCTGTCTCCTTGAAGGCCTGGCTCAGAGCTCTCAGCATCTCTCCATGCTGAGATAACTTACATTTTCTGTTATCATTTTTTTCTCTTTTTCCGTAGAAAGGGGCACTTAAAGTGAAATATCTCCTGCCGCACTGTTAACAAGGATTCGTAAATGTGAACTGTTCACCTTGTCTGTTGGCGGGCGGTTATGAGAAATCACTAGCACACAGAGGTCCCCTGCACTTCACATCTGGTGGTGTCTGTGTGGTGGCATGGACAGGGCAGGAGCTGCCTGGCTTCCTCAAACATGCTGCTGGGAGCCTAGAGGGTTTGCAAACGCTCTGGGCCCAGGTGACAGCCCAGGTCAAAGTCAATGCAGAAGAGCCATCATTTGGTGCAGGAAAAGCTGCCTGGCCCTATGTCTGGACTACTTTCTTTCCCACGTTTGAGACCTTGGCTTGAATGCCACCTCTTCTAAGAAGCCCTTCCAGACTGAGGCATTCACTCATTCATTCAATGAGCATGTATAGACCCCCCTGTTCTGTGGCAGGCCTGTGACAGGCATACAGAGGTGGCCCAGTCATGACCCCTGCTTTCTACAGTGGGGGAGACAGACAGGGACACAGGGACTTATCACACAGGGTGAGATGGGCTTCAACTGGGGATGCTTGGGGACTGTGGGGGTCCATCAGGGGCCCCAGACCCAGCTTAAGGGGTGTGGGTCCTCAGAGAAGGCTCCCTAGGGGGCCTGGTCTATGCTCAGAGCCTAGGGAGTGTGGCAAGGTCAGGGCGGGGGGGGTAGCCAGATGAAGTCCAAGAGGAAGGCCATGCCACGCAGAAGGAACAGCATAGGCAAAGGCCCAGAGGCAAGGGGACAGCGGGCAGGTGCCTGTGGGAACATTAGAGACTCAGTCCAGCTGGAGCCCACCGTCAGAGAGGAAATGGGGTGTGAAGGTGGCGTGCAGCTGGCCATGGAGCGCCTGAGACTCCACTCAGGACTGGGGACCTAATGTGGCTGACACCTCTGGATGGCGGTACTTGGGGGTGAATTTTACTTTCTTCTTTGAAATTATCTCTAATTTCCTGGATGTGAGGGCAATCTGGCTGTGAAGTCTGTCAACCCATTGATCGCCAGGGTTGATTAGGCTGATCTGGCTGGCTAGGTAGGTGTCCCCTTCCTCCCTCACCACTCCATGTGCGTCCCTCCCGAAGCTGCACACTTGGTCAAAGAGGACAACAATCCCTGATAGAGGAGGAGCAGTCTTCAGTCAAGGGTATACGAGTAGCTGCACTCCCCTGCTAGAACCTCCCAACAAGGTCTCAAATTATCTCTAATTTCTTAACTTTTCTATAGTGAATTATGTGTTACCTTTGTAGTAAAAAATTGTAAATAACAATAAAGATTACTGCAGAAGAATAAAGGAGAAGGCAAATGAGTAGTAGTAGTGATAGTGGTAGCAATAGTAACAGTGGTATTGATAGTAGTGGCAATAGTAGTAATAGTGGCAGTAATCAGTAAAGTAGCAATAGTGGTGGTAGTAATAGTAGTAACTGTAGTAGAAACAGCAATTGTGGGAGTAATAGTAGTAATTGTGGGAGCAATAGCAAGAGTGGTAGTAATAGTGGTGGTAGCAATGGTGGTAATAGGAATAGTGGTGGTAGGAATAATTGTAGTAGTAACAGCAATTGTGAAAGCAATTGTTGTAATTGGGGAAGCAATAGCAATAGTGGTAGTAATAGTGGCAGTAGTAATTGTGGTAACAGTGGTGGTAGCAACAGTATTAGTGGTATTGGTAGTATGGTAATAATAGTAATAGTGGTAGTAATTAGTAATAATAGTGGTGGCAGTAAAGGTAGCAATAATGGTGGTAATAATAGTAATAGTGGGGACAGTAATAGTAATTGTAGTAGTAACAGCAATCATGGGAGTAATAGTGGTCATTGTGGGAGCAATAGCAATAGTGGTAGTAATGGGGTGGTAGGAATGGTGGTAATAGTAATAATGGTGGTAGTAATAGTGGTGGTAGGAATTGTAGTGGTAGAAATGGTGGTAATAGTAATAATGGTGGTAGGAATGGTGGTAATAGTCATAGTGGTGTTAGGAATGGTAGTAATAGTAATAATGGTGGTAGTAATAGTGGCGGCAGGAATGGTAGTGGTAGAAATGGTGGTAATAGTCATAGTGGTGGTAGGAATGGTGGTAATAGTCATAGTGGCGGTAGGAATGGTGGTAATAGTAATAGCGGTGGTAGGAATGGTGGTAATAGCAATAGTGGTGGTAGGAATGGTGGTAATGGTAATAGTGGTGGTAGGAATGGTAGTGGTAGGAATGGTAGTAATAGTAATAGTGGTGTTAGGAATGGTGGTAATAGTGGTGTTAGGAATGGTGGTAATAGTAATGGGGTGGTAGGAATGGTGGTAATAGTAATAGTGGTAGGAATGGTGGTAATAGTAATAGTGGTGTTAGGAATGGTAGTAATAGTAATAATGGTGGTAGTAATAGTGGCGGCAGGAATGGTAGTGGTAGAAATGGTGGTAATAGTCATAGTGGCAGTAGGAATGGTGGTAATAGTCATAGTGGTGGTAGGAATGGTGGTAATAGCAATAGTGGTGGTAGGAATGGTGGTAATGGTAATAGTGGTGGTAGGAATGGTGGTAATAGTAATAGTGGTAGGAATGGTGGTAATAGTAATAATGGTGGTAGTTATAATGGCAGTAGGAATGGTAGTAATAGTAAGAGGGGTAATAGGAATGGTGATAATTAATAGTAATAGTGGTGGTAGGAATGGTGGTAATAGTAATAGTGGTAGGAATGGTGGTAATAGTAATAGTGGTGGTAGTAATAGTGGTGATAGGAATGGTAGTGGTAGAAATGATGGTAATAGTAATAATGGTGGTAGGAATGGTGGTAATGGTAACAGTGGTGGTAGGAATGGTAGCAATAGTAATAGTGGTGGTAGGAATGGTGGTAATAGTAGTAGAGGTGGTAGGAATGGTAGTAATAGTTTGGACTCCACCTTGTAGGTGGCAGGAGCCACTCAAGGGCGGGGAAGGATGAGAGTTTGAGTTGAAGGCGGATTGAGTTGAAGGAGGATTCAGGCAGGTAACTAGCGTGGAGGCACGGTCGAGGGTAAACCATCCTGGCTCTGTGTGGTGGGGGCCCCCTTCCCCCGTGCTAGAGACCATCTCCTCTTAGATGATTCACTGGAGGGAAGTGGTCTATTTTTAGAATGCTCTATTTCTATGGGAACTGGACTCTGCAGAAGATGAGCTTCAGTCATGGCTGCTGAGTGGCTAGGGCGAAGGTCTGGAGAGCCAGGTCTCTTAACACCACCTTTCCAACATCCACAGAACCTTAGCTGTCTCTTTCCTCAACTCTTAGAATCCTCAACAGTCACAGTTTTGTTTGTTTGTTTTTTTTTTTTTTTGAGATGGAATCTCACTCTATTGCCGAGGCTGGAGTGCAGTGGCACCATCTCAGCTCACTGTAACCTCTGCTCGCGGGTTCAAGGGATTCTCCTGCCTCAGCCTCCTGAGTAGCTGGGATTACAGGCAAGCTCCCACGATGCTCAGCTAATTTTTTTTGTATTTTTAGTGGAGACGGGGTTTTGCCATGTTGTCCAGGATGGTCTCGAACTCCTGACCTCAAGTGATCCGCCTGCCTTGGCCTCCCAAATTTTCTTTTTTTTCTCTCCATCAACTCAGTCACCACTCATATACTTACCCATTCGTCCTTTTGCCTGTCACTCATTCATCCATTCACCCTTTGATTTTCAATTTGGTTGCAGAAGAATTCCTTGATTGAAGTTCACCAAACGTTCATTTCTAGGTGGTAGAATTCTGATTTTTTTTTTTGGCTCTAATCTTTATACTTTCCATATTGTTTGATTTTTTTTTTCTTGAGGCAGAGTCTTGCTCTTGTCATCCAGGCTGGAGTCCAATGGTGCAGTTTTGGCTCACTGTAACCTCCACCTCATGGGTTCAAGAGATTCTTCTGCCTCAGGCTCCCAAGTAGCTGGATTACAGGTGCCTGTGACCACATCCACCTAATTTTCTGTATTTTTAGTAGAGACGGGGTTTCACCATGTTGGCCAGGCTGGTCTCAAACTCCTGACCTCAGGTGATCCACCCCACTTGGCCTCCCAAAGTGCTGGGATTACAGGTGTGAGCCACTGAGCCTGACCTACTGTTTGAATTTTTACACCACACACTCATCATTTGTGTCTTTACAAAAACAATGTATTCATAGAAATAAACAAGCATACCAAAATAGAAAACACATCCATGATTTCAGAATGTTTTCTCTGGTGGACGCCTGCTGCCACGTAAGAAGTCTAACTACTCTGAGACCGCCATATTGTGAGGAAGTCCAAAGCTGGCTAAGTGGAGAGGCTGGGTGGAGAGGAGGGACGTGTTCAGCCAGCTCTAGATGTCCCAGCCATTGATTCCGGGAGTCAGATATGTGAGTGAAAGAGCCACTGTGGGCATTTCAGCCCCAGCATATTCAACTTGGAGAAAAATCAAGAAAAACCATTTGACTGGAACATTTTTTTCTTTTCTTTCTTTTTTTTTTTTTGACCGGTTCTTGCTGTCACCCAGGCCGGAGTGCAGTGGTGCAATCACGGCGCACTGCAGCCTCGACCTCCCAAGCTCAAATGATCCTTCTCCCTCAGCCTCCCAAGTAGCTGGGACTACAGGTGTGTACTACCATGCCTGTCTAACTTTTGTATATTTTGCAGAGACAGAGTTTTGCCATGTTGGCCAGGCTGGTCTTGAACTCCTAGACTCAAGCCATCTGCCTATCTTAGTCTCCCAAAGTGCTGGGATTACAGGTGACAGCCACCATGCCCGGCAGAACTGGGACACATTTCTAGTCATCCAAGCCACCCCAAATGAAGGCCCAGTCATCATGGAGCAAATACAAGCTGTCCCTGCTGTGCCCTGACTGAATTCCCAGTCCACAAAATAGTGACTGTAACGAAAGAGTAAGACTTGGATTTGAATTAAAGCTTTGCATGGTTTTGTGCATGACCATAGGCGAATCCCTTCACTTTTCTGGTCTCAGTTTCTCTCTCATTGGAACAGGAGCTGAAGAATAGCAGGTGGGCACACTGATGGGTTCTCCTGTTGTTTTTCTTTCTCCTCATGATCAGGAAGCCAGCATGATGAGGTAGCACTAACTTGGGCTGTGAAGCCTGAGTCCCAAGTTCAAGTCTTGGCTCTGGTGTGCATGAGCACGTGACCTTGATTCTGCTTGGCTTTTTTTTTTTTTTCACTTTTGCTTTTCTATCTTGCTGAAAATATGTGATATTACATGTCACTGCAAACAGAACTGTGGCTAATGCTGCACAATTTATATTGCTGGTTGCAAGTATTTTGGATAGCTCAGACACATTATGGCAATATTTTAAAAAATTGCGCTGTGAACTTGTTGGAGGGAGCAAATACCCTCCTTCCAGATCTTAAGTCTGGATTCCCCCAACTACCTCTTGAGGAACCCCCAGAGTGAACCCCTAGGGTCAGGTGATGTCTTCAGCCATCTATGCCCCAACCATCAGCCCTGACCAGGGTGGACTAAAGATTCTGGCAGGGGCATCCCTCTGTAGCCTGTGCACACACACATACACAGATGCACACACAAAGATACACACACACACACACACACACACAGCCACTCACAGACCCGGCCTCATTAGAGTCAAAAGGGTGAATAAGAGCCAGATTAAATATGTGTTGATTATGTGAGCTTGTGCTCCTGTTTATTCCTCATAAATAAGACATGAGCTCTGTTTTCCAACCCCCGACGTATGTGTGTGTGTGCACGCATGCACACACACACAACACGTACACACTTCCTGGGGGTGATATTTATTATATGCAAATCAGAAACTGAACTGAGGGGAGAAGTAATCACCTGTTTATCCTATGGTGCATGGATCAGGTGGAAAATAATAACCCAGAGTAATGGGGCCATATCTATTTGCAGGGAGATGATGCTGACCTTTGGGCTGGGACAGCCCGGAGCTGGGACTTACTGACCCCTGCCTGGTCAGGTCAGATAGCGAGGCAGACCCCTCTCTCTGCTCTGCCCAGTGGCCTTTGCTGTGTCACTGGGAGAGGTTGAAACAGGCATCGCAAAGCAGCAGGGTAAAGGTGAGCTGTTACCTGCCACCTGCCTGAGCTTGGACAGCTGTTCACAGTAAAGACGGTGGCAGGCAGACCTGGTTCAAATGCAAGACCTGCTGCTCTTAGCAGTGTGACCTTGAGCACACTCTTGCATGTCTCTGGGCCTCCATTTCTTCATCTGTAAAGTGCAGACAACCCATGATTCCAGTCTTGGAGGGTGTTGGGAGCATGAAAAGACTCAGGGGTGGCTGCAGCAAGGAACTCGGAACCCTCTAGGTGCTTTACTCTTCCTCACACCCCACATCTGATGGAGGAATAAGACTTGCCATTTCTGCCACCTAAACTTTGAAGTGTGAATCCTGCCTGGCACCCAGGAAGCGCCCGGAACATGCTGTGTCCTGATGAAGCCATTGTTTGGGTCCTGCTGTCCTTTGCAATTGACCATATCACAGCCAATCTGTTCCTTGCTCTGCAGAGAGAGGGACCTTCCTAACGTGAAAATCCCTTCACTACATCGCTCCCCTGCTCCAAAGCCTGTTGTGGCTCCTCAGTGCCCTCCGGACAAGAATTTCATGCTCCTCCGCATGTCCCCTGAGGACCCCTGGTCTGGGCCCAGCTAACCCTGCCAGCCTGGTGGCTGCCCCCTTTACCACGCTCCAGCCTTGCGGATCTTTCTTCAGTTCCTTAAGTGTGCCAAGCTCGCTCCTGCCCCAGGGCCTTTGTCCTTGCTGTGTCCTCTGCCTGGAACCTTCTGCCCCTGGCTCCTTTTTCACGACTCCACTTAAATGTCACCTCCCCAGGGGAACCGCTTCATCTAAATTAGGTCCCCGGCCTGCTGTTTGCCCTCTCTCTGAAGCTTGTCAGTTTCCTTCATGACACAGATCACAATTTGTCATCATGTTATTGATGTGGGTTTACTGGATTGTGGCTCTCTCCATTGTGACTGTGAGCTCTGGAGAGCAGGGCTGGGGCTATTTTGCTTCCCAAGGTGGCCCCAGTGAACTGGTGCCCGAGTAGCCTCCTCAGGGACCTTTCTTGAAGGACCAGATGGCTGGCTGCTCTAGCCACTGCCAGGGAGGCACTGGGGGCTGGGGCGGCTGGGGCAGAGGCGTGCACTGGGCTGGGGGCTGTGTGGCTCACATGGGAGAGGGCCGGACACCTGGCTTCATGTCCTCCTTCCCGGCTGCCTGCCAACTCCAGGGTCCCCCCAGGGATGTTTTCCTGACTCTCCCTAATGGCCTGACATACAAGGTCCCGATGACAAACCTCCCTCTGATAAAAGATGCAAAACTAACATCTGGCGGTTAATTAATAAAGAGCAGCGGTGTCTGGCTGGGGCATGTGGTGTGCTGACGCTGGCATTTTCTTGGCCCGCCCCAAGAGATGCTGATGTTGTCTGCAAAAATGGGGGGAAAAGATCCATTTGGAGCGGGCCCTGCTGACGAGGCTCCTGAGGGGCAGGATAGCCACTTGTCCCCACTTTGGGGGTGTATGCTGATGCTTGGTCCTCCACCAAAGGGGCATGGGTGGGTGGAAGGGGGAATATCATTTCCTGGGTACTTTTTTTTTTTTTTAGACAGACTCTCACTCTGTCGCCCAGGCTGGAGTGCAGTGGCACAATCTCGGCTCATCCTCCTGAATAGCTGGGATTACAAGTGCCCACCACCATGCCCAGCTAATTTTTGTATTTTTAGTAGAGACAGGGTTTCACCATGTTGGCCAGGCTGGTCTCGAGCTCCTGACCTCAACAGATCTGCCCGCCTTAGCCTCCCAAAGTGCTGGGATTACAAGCTTGAGCCACTGCCCCCGACCTATTTTCTGGGTACTTATTATGGGTCATGCCTGATATCTCATTCATGCCTCCTCAAAGCCCCAAGAGGTGAATATTTCTGTTCTCACTGATGTGTAAGCAAATTGAGGCTCAGCTGCCTGCCCCAAAGCCTAAGCTGCTCCTCCTACCTCAGCAGGAAGCAGGGGTGCTGGGCAGTGCCAGCTGGGGTCACTGGGAGCGTTTGTCACAAATGCAGACTCCAAGGCCCCAGAACCTGCTGTTCCGGGTGGGGCCCAGGAGTTTGCGTTTGTAACAAGCACCTCACATGATGCTGGGCAGGTAGAACAGCTATCTCACCTTGGAAAATATTGTTCTAGTGAATCCCATCAAGCATTTAGTTAGCACGTACTGTATGCCAGGCCCCAGGCTAATTTCAGTCATGGGATGAGGCGGGAAGGATGGATGTATCCATTTTATAATACAAAGGCCCAGAGAAGGGAAAGGACTTAATCAAGGCTGCACAGTGATGCAGGGTCCAACCCAGATCCTCTGGCTGGCCCAGGTCCCAGTGCTTCTCAGATCTCTCCATGTGGCCCTCAGGGGAAAGGAGAGGGCCCTGCCTCACAGCCAAAGGAGCTGCCTCTCAGCACAGAGCCACTGACATGTTCACAGAGCTAATATTTCAATTACTACTTAGGGCACCTTGGCAGGCCTGGCCCCCAACCTAGGCTGAGTGTGAGTACCAGGGTGACCTTCAGCAAGTGGGGGGGCCATGCAGGGGCTTGTGGCTGGTTCCCCAGACTTCTTGGGCCCGAAGAGTGGCCACCCGAAGTGCCATTTGGAGGAATGGTGAAAGTTACACCCAGGCAGCTCTCCTAGGTGACCAGGAGGCCACAGGGTAGGATGCTGGTGGGGTGGGTGGAGGTTGGCAAGGTGGGATGGAACAAGGTGGGGTCTGAGGCTCCAGAAAGAGTCAGATGGGAAGCCAGGCACAGTGGCTCACAACTGTAATTCCAGTACTTTGGGAGGCCAAGGCAGGCGGATCACCTGAGGTCAGGAGTTCGAGACCAGCCTGGCCAACACGGTGAAACCCCGTCTCCACTAAAAATTAAAAAATTCAGCTGGGCATGGTGGTGGATGCCTGTAATCCCAGCTACTTGGGAGGCTGAGGCAGGAGAATTGCTTGAACCCAGGAGGTGGAGGTTGCAGTGAGCCGAGATCGCGCTGCCGCACTCCAGCCTGGATGGCAGAGCGAGACTAGGTCTCAAAAAAAAAAAAAAAAAAGCCAGACGGGGGGCGCATAACAATGAGACTCAGAGCAACCTATGCCTGAATCCCAGCTCCTTCTCCACCTCTCTGTGGGACTGTGCAGGTTCTCACCTGCAAACAGGGCACCTAAGGGACCTCCCAGAGCCATGGTGAAGAAGAAGTAAGGCACTGGCCAAGGACTGAGGCTTGGGTGCTGCCCCGAGTTACACTGAGAGTCTTGGGTTTCAGGCAGACTTAGGCACAAACCTTTGTTTCACAGCTCTGGGGCTACGTGAACTAGTGACCTCGAGTCTCTCGGCCTCAGTTTCCTCATCGTCGCTGCTGATGGGGTTGTTATAACACCTAGATGGTGTAGAATGCTTAGCGTAGGTCCTGGTATAGAATAAAAGCCAGCAGATGCTGTCGCGCTCACATGTGTGTGACTGTCTTATTACTGCTATCACCGTCCTTAGAGTGAGAGCTCATATGCACATGTTGCTTACTTGGTTTGGGATTTCCTGTCCCAGCTGAGCCCAGCCAGTGCTCCCTGCTCCAGGACCTCACTGGCTTGTGTCCGAGGGGCAGCCTGGCCATCTGCCGTGGGAAGGGGCGCCAGCCAGCCTGGAGTCCTTCGCATAATCAAATTGTTACTGATTTGCCCTTGTGACTCTTGTCCACAGACGATAACGCTCCCGGGGCACTGAGCGGGCGCCCACCCCAGAGGGCAGCCAGGTCAGGCTGGGAGTTGGGGGATTATAGGATACATGGGTATTTGGGATCCCTGGCTGTGCCACCGGCTTACTGTGCCATCTTGGCCAAGTCCCTTACGGTCTCTGGGACCCAGTATCTACCTCTTAAGTCAGCTCCTATGGCTGTGACTGGGGGAGAGAGGGGAGGAATGAGGAGGGAGAAAGGGGCTCAACTTGGGGCTCATTGGAGACTTCTCTCCCACCTCCCCCAGCCTCAGCTATCTCCTTCCTCCACCCTTTCTCAGTCCCGCCCAAGATCATACGCTATTAATAGCAGATAACACTCACTGCCTACGAAGTAATAAAACCGTCCCCACTGGGTTGACAAGAAGGACATGCTGGGTTCTGGACAGAAATATAGTGATAATTAAGCATTAATCTGGCTGCACTTGGCCCATTTCCTTGTTGCAAAAAGTCACGTAGCACTAGATACTGACCATTGCGTCCACACTGTTTCTATAAATCGGATTCATAGATGGTTTAAGAATTGACTTGTATTCCTGTTGTTCTTGTAGATGGGATCTCTGATGTTAGAATCATAAGGGTTTTGTTTAAGGATTGCTTAAGGTATTTTTCAGACCTGGAATTCCAGCAATGCTCACAGAGGAACGGGATCAGTGTGAGAATACAGCTGCTTCCTCTTCCTGCCCCATGACTTTGCCCTGCACTCTTCCACTAATCAACCATCTCCATACTTCAGCCCACTCCAAAACCCTTAAAAACGCCAGCCTCAAACTCCTCTGGGAGATGGATTTGAGGTTTCTTCCCATCCCCTTGTTCAGTGACCCTACAATTAAACCTCATTCTCTGCTGCAACCCCATGTCTTGGTGTCTTGACTTGCTGCGGGCCTTGAGTGTTGAACCTATGAAGGTTACAGTACGTCCTTGCATTAACCCCATGTTTCAGCTGGGCAAACTAAGGCTCAGAGAGGTAAGGTAACATGCCCACACGCCAGGAAGTACCAGATCCTGGACTTGAACCCAAGTCTCTCTGACTTTTGAAGCCACTTCTTCCTCTGTTGTATCTCATCTTACTCCTGGCATGGACCAGAGGTTAGGGAAACTCTCCCCTGATTTCCTGCTCCTCCAGCCACCTCCCTCCTCCTCCACCACCTCCTCAGCCCTGCCCTGGGCAATCAGTTTCTTTAGCTGTGATTTGGGATTCTAATGAACAGAATGATTTGGCATTTAAATAATTATCCACTCTCTAACTGTTAGTGCTGCTGAGTCGGGAGAAATTTCTGCATCTTATTTATGAATATGGTTTTCCCTCTTGTTGGGTGGAGGTTTCCCAGCTCACCCCCACCCCCTGTGCCTCCTCTTTTAAATGCCTTTTCAGTGTGTGTTTCCAGTGGTGCGTTCCCCCCAACACCAGCCCCTAAGTGCCTATTAACAACTTTTCCTTCCGCTATCAGCGCCTGTTCACGCCCCTTTTTATCTTTACATTTCAATATCATTACAAATCCTAGTGTTATTCAAATTGCATCAATTATTCAATTTCTCCTCCCCGAGTGGAGAGTGGAGGCAGCAGCTTCCCAGTGACTGAGCAGGAAAAAGCAAAGGCCTTTCAAGGAGGGTTTGAAATTCACAGGGGATTCGGCTCTGTTCCATTAACCTGGGCTTTTTGGCTCCCACAAACCCTGGAATTGATTAAAACAAACACACACACCACACACACACCAGGAGTTTCAATTTGGTGTGGGGAGAAAGCCTGCTGCCGAGAAGCGCAGAAGGGACGGTTTGGGAGATAAGATGCCCTGTGCTATTCATTCATTGAACATTTATTGAGTTACTCCTGTAACAGCCACCATTTATTGAGCACTTACTGTGTACCAGACTCCATTCCAAACTCTTTATGGAAGATAACTCCTAGAATCTTCCAGGCAACCCAGTGAGATAGTTATCATTATAAATCCTCCCGCCCCATTTTACAGATGAGGAAACTGAGGCTCAGAGAGGGGAAGACACTAGCCCAAGGCTGCACAGGGATGGAGTCTGGTTTTGTCTTCAAGGCCTCGGCTCTTAGCCATGATGCCATCAGCTGAGGTTGTAGGGTTTGGGTGACCCTAATGAGTAGTTAGAGAAGGGCTGAGAGTGTGGAAGGGAAAGAGAATTAACACAACTTTTTACAGTGTTCATTTTTGAAGACTCACATGAGATATTTCTCACATCTCATTACTATGAAAAACCAATTTTTTTCCTCCCCTAAGCAACTAGTAGTTTCTTAGCTTATGGACTCTAGGAGTCAAGTAATGCCTGTGTATCTCTCTTTGCTTTGGCTGCCAGGACACTCTGAGACCATGTTTAGCCCACTGCTTGACATATGGAACCTTATCCCGCCATCCGTCATGTTCCCCTCATCAGGGCATTTTCTGCTTTGGCATCATGGTGTATATTTCTAAGTCACTTCTCAGCCCTTTTTAAATGAAGCCAGGTATAAGTGCCTTTAAAAAAAAAAAGACTTTTACATATCCATTATGAACTGGACATTTTACACAAATTCTCACTTAACTTTGGCAAAGGGCTTATTCCCACTTTACAGATGATGTACTGGAGGTCCAGAGAGGCTAAGCAACTTGCCTGAGGACACACAGTAAGTGGCAGAACCAGGACGGAAACACAGCCTGTAAGCCTCCAGTGCCATCCTCTTTCCATGACCCAGGGGATATGGAAGCCCAGGGAATATGATGCCTCAGCTCTGATACCCCTGCTCTAGACTTTGTTCTGGAAGAAAGGTGTCATGAATCTTTTTTTTGTTTTTTTGTTTGTTTGTTTGTTTGTTTGTTTGTTTTGAGATGGAGTCTCATTCTGTCTTCCAGGCTGGACAGGCTGGAGTGCAGTGGTGTGATCTCGGCTCACTGCAACCTCCGCCTCCCAGGTTTAAGCAATTCTCCCGCGTCAGCCTCCTGAGCAGCTGGGGCTACAGGCATGCTCCACCATGCCCGGCTAATTTTTTGTATTTTTTAGTGGAGATGGAGTTTTACCATGTTGGCCAGGCTGGGCTCAAACTCCTGACCTTAGGTGATCCATCTGCCTTGGCCTCCCAAAGTGCTGGGATTACAGGTGTGAGCCACCACGCCGGCCCAGGTGTCGTGAATCTCTTCTAGTCAGCAGACCTGGGTCCTAGCACCTTGCTATGTGACCTTCCATTACCTGGGCCTCAGTTTCCCCACTGAACACTGTTGGGCTGACCTCCAAGGCTCCCTCTGGCCCTGACCTCATGTCACTTCTTTTCTGCCTGTTTCACTGGAGCATTTACCATCAACTGAACCTGGTCGCACTTCTGAGTCACAGCCGCCGTCCCTGAAGCAGGTGCAGACCCTGGGGAATCCTGTCACCTGGCTCCTAGGGTTTTCCGAAGCCACAGACAGGGGAGGGTGCAGTGGCAGCAGTGGTGACAAGGCTGGTAACATGTGCCTCCCACACCAGCCACCTGTGTCCTTGTGATCCTGGGTCCCCAGGCAGGCAGGAGGAGGGATGGGGATTGGGGGGGTGCTTAGATTTGGGTGAGGCTCAGCTTCTTCTTGAACTGGAGGGATCTAGGTCTCAGGTCCCAGGGTGCCAGCCTGGCCTAGGAAGGTCTGAACTCTAAGCAGGGAGGTAGAGGCAGAGACACAGAGGAGGGAGTGGCTCTGGAGATTGGAGGTGGAGACTTCCCAAGGGAAAGGGGCCTCATTTATTGAACACCTACTGAGCGCATGACCTTTCACAGGTCAAATTTAGGCCATAAACATGCTTTCTTTGACTCACTTTGTGTTTTTATTCGTTTGTTTGTTTGAGACAGGGTCTCACTTGGTCGCCCAGGCTAGAGGGCAGTGGCACTGTCATGGCTTACTGCAGCCTCTAATGCTGGGGCTCAAGCGATCCTCCCACCTCAGCCTCCCAAGTATCTGGGACTACAGATGTGCAGCACCACACCCAGCTAATTTTTGAAATGTTTGTAGAGACCAGGTTTTGCCATGCTGCCCAGGCTTGTCTGAAACTACTGAACTCAAGCCATCTGCCCTCCTCAGCCTCTCAAAGTGCTGGAATTACAAACATGAGCCACTGAACCTGGCCTTATGCTGGAAACTTTAAACACAGTCTCACTTAACCCTCACAGCCTCGAAGGTAATAGGTTCTACTATTATGCCCATGTAACAGATTAAGAAACTGAGGCCTGGGGATTTGTGCAGCCCCTCTGGCTTCCTTTTAGCTGTTGGATGGTGTCTTGCCCCTTCCTGCCTCAGGGCCTCTGTGCCATCTCTTTTGGCTGGAATGCTTTATACCCTCCCCCATGCAAGCTTTAATCAGGTCTTCCCTGGCTCTCTAAACGAAGCCTGGCTCCCCCTGGTATTGCTTATCAGAGCATCATAGCATTAATAATGATAATAACACCAGCTAAGACTTACCGAGCACTTTCCATGAGCCAGGCACTGCTAATTAGCTCCCCGAATCCTCCCACGACCTGGTGGAGCAGCTATGATTACTACCCTCATTTTACAGATGAGGAAACTGGGGCTCACAGAGGTTAAGTCACTTGCCCCGGGTCACACAGCCAGTGGTGAAATGCTTACTTTAGGTTGTGTAGTCTTTCTTTCTTTCTTTTTGAGACAGGGTCTCACTCTTTCACCCAGGCTGGAGGGCAGTGGCATGATCTCGCCTCACTGGAAGCTCCCCTTCCTGAGCTCAAACTATCCTCCTGGTTCAGCCTCCCGAGTAGCTGGGACTACATGCATGTGCCACTAGGCCTAGCTAATTTTTTGTATTTTTGGTAGAGATGGGGTCTCACCATGTTGGACAGGCTGGTCTCCAATTCCTGAGCTCAAGCTTCCCATCCACCTTGGCCTCCCAAAGTGCTGGGATTAGAGGTGTGAGCCACTGTTCCCGGGCATATTCTTTATTTTTATTTTTTTGAGACGGAGTCTTGTTCTGTCACCCAGGCTGGAGTAGAATGGTGAGATCTTGGCTCACTGCAACCTCTGCCTCCCAGGTTCAAGTGATTCTCTTGCTTCCACCTCCCAAGTAGCTGGGATTACAGGCATGTGCCACTACACCTGGCTAATTTTTGTATTTTTAGTAGAGACAGGGTTTTGCCATGTTGCCAGGCTGGCCTCTCAAACTCCTGACCTCACGTGATCTACCCGCCTTGGCCTCCCAAAGCGCTGGGATTAGAGATGTGAGTCACCGCGCCCGGCCCATATTCTTTAAATGAAAGAAGACAACAGGATTATGGCTCCAAAGTCCAAATTCCATGCTAATAACCATGAGGGTCTACGAAAGGCACCTCCTCCCCAACCAGAGTGTCTCTCCACGGAGTTGGTCCCAACTTCCACCTGACTTCCAGGTTAGCACTGAGTTCACCTCTACCTCTACCCCAAGTGTCTCCAGTGAGAAAGAAGGTGGCATTTGGCACCATGGACAGCTTTGCTTTGTCTCCCCATGGCAGCCTTGTCACTGCCCTGCCTGCTCCCCTCACCAAGGCTGTGGCTGTGGACTGGCCTCTGGGAAATTCCCAAGGACCCTCTCCTCTCCACTTGGTCCCCAGCTCCCTCCCTCCTCACCACCCTCCCCTGCGCCAGTTTACTGCCAATGACATTCAGATAAATGGCTGCTGTCAGCCCGGCTGGTCCCATGGAAAGGCGTGTCGAGTGATGTATGGCACCATCTTCTAGAACCACAGGACTCGCTGCTCAGGAGCTACAAGGGGGTGCTCCCCACCCTCCGTCAGCCTCTGACCCTGGGCCACATCTGGGCTTTGGGATCCCCCTCGTGTCCAGCCCTGGGGATGAGTCCCAGTCAGACACAATTACTGAGGTCTTTAATCATGTGCTGCAAAGAGCCTGGCCCACTCCCCTACTCTCCGGGCCGCTACGCAACCCCAAACCCAATCTCCATCCCTGTCTGCTGTAGGTGTGCTTTTCTGGTTTATTTGAGTGGACAGTGGCCATCTGACTCTCAGCTTCTGGGCCCAGAGGGAGGAGACCCAGCCCAGCATGGCTGTCCACAGGGCAGCAGATAAAGCCCTGGCTTACAGTCACGTTTTTCCTTCACTTGACTTGGCTGATTGAGAGCAGGGCAGGTAATGAAGCTGCTGCCCCTCTGGATCAGCCAACAGCTCCTGGGTTGGGCTGAAATGTCTAAACCCACCCCTGTCCTCAGGCCTTGGGGCCACCAAAATGCCCTCTCCTGCCTGTGGACTTCTGCCAACTGCCAGCTCGGACAGTGGTTTGTCATCTTTAAAATGAGATTAACAATAATCATGGCTGCCACTGACATAGCACTGTTCAAGGGCTTTCAATGCAGTAAAAGCCCTGCCGCAACATCAAAGATGGAGTACAAAGTATTTGATTCCACGCAGAATAAAGTCACATGTGAGGTTAACCAGGAATTCTGGGGAACCAATTCTAACTGGGTTCAGACTCATACCATCAGGTTTTACTTTTGGCCCTTGTAACAACTGTCTGAAATAGTTACCATTACCCATTTCACAGACCAAAGTAGACCGACGCCCAGGGAGCTGCATACACTTCCCCAAAGACACACAGCCCTTGAGGTGTGGGGATGGGATTTGAATCCAGGAGATAGAGCTCCGGAGTTTCCACTTTAACCACCACCCCAGGCTGCCTCCCAGAGCTGGGGTGAAGATCCAGTGAGCTCATGCTAAAAAGTGCTTAGTGTGGATCCTGGGAGTAGCAGGATCAGAGATCTCCTCCCTCCCTTACCAGGGCACCTATGTCACCAACCCCTCACTGCTTCTGGCATCAGCAAAATCTCCTTGGTTTTCACTGTGGTCCTCAGTGACTCTGAAATAATCTGATGATTCTTTCTTTTCCCCTTACTCTTCGGGTGGGATGCAACTGCCTTTTGTGCTTTCTGGTCCTGAATGGCAGGGCACTGTGCTTCCTGGCCTCGCGGGCCCTCAGCTGGTGACCTCCTCCCGGCAGACGTAGAGAAAGGAAAATCTATCCGTTTAAAGCACATCCATGGCTTTGAACTTTCTAGGTGAAAAACAAAGGAAAACCCACCAGGCATATAGATAAACAAAGACAGCTGCCCCCACAGACCTTGTTCTTCCTTCTCAATAATTTATTGAGCACCTACTATGTGCCTGTACTGGGCTGAAGGGAAGGAGGAAATGCAAACAGCTTTGAAACACTCTCAAGAGCTGGCTGCATGGGGAGCTGGCTAGTCAGGCTCCACTCCTGAACTCATGTTGACTCTCCCCAAATTTGCTGATCCCTACTCTAAAAAAGGCACTGTTCTGGGCACTGAGGTCAAAGTAACGAACAAGATGGACAAGGCTCCGGCCATCACGAACCTGCATTTCAGTGGAGGGAGATGACAGTAAACAAACAAGTAAGGCAGGGCCAGAGCAGTGCACAAAAGAAAATACAACAGGCTAAGGTGAAAGAGAAGGATAAAGGGGTAGGGGAGGACCTCTGCACAAAGAGGACCAGTGAGCAGAGACAGGAAGAACGAAGACATGAAGATCTGGGGTAAGAGCATTCTAGGTGGAGGGAATAGCAAAGGCCAAGATCTTGAGGCAAAAGAGGACTGGGGAAACTTGGGGCATCCAGACAGGGTGGTGGTGGCTGGATCGAGAGCGGAACTTGACTCTTAGCAAAGAGGGTGAATGGCCAGAAATGAGAGAGAGGAGGAGTGGCAGTGTCTGTGTTCATTGCTCAGGCTGCCATAACAAAATGCCACAGCCTGGGTGGCTTCATCCACAGAAGTTGACTTTCTCACAGTTCTGGAGGCTAGAAGTCTAAACTCAAGTATCAGGGGGACTGATTTCTTCCGAGGTCTCTCCTTAGCCTGTAGCTGGCCACCTCCTGGTGTCTTGACCCAGGCTTTTCCCTTTGTGTGTCTGGGTCCTAATCGCCTCTTCTTGTGAGGACACCAGTCATGTTGGATTAGGGCTTACCCTCAATGACCTCATTTTACCTGAATTACCTGCATAAAGGTCCTGTCTCCAAGTACAGTCACATTCTTAGGTAGTGGGGGCTGGGATTTCCATATATGAATTTGGTGGTACACAATTCGGCCCCTAATAGCACCCCACCCATGTCCCAGACCCTTACCACGTGGGTGCATGTGAGTCCAGCCTCTAGCTACCAGCACCCACATTTCTCTGCCCCAGGCATTTCTCCCAAGACTGTTTTGCCACTTATACACCGAGCCGGAAGTATTCAAGAATGAATGTCCCCTGGAGCAGTCCCCATGGTGATGGGAGATGATCTATCAGCTCTCCAGCCCCCAGCCCCTTGAAGTGTGTATCCCACACTGCTGCCCAGGGGACAACACCCGGGTGGCCCACAGTGATTGTCCAGCTTTATCACACAGCCTTTCTCAGCTGCCCTTCCTCCTGCCTCCCTTTCCCCGTCTCCGACTGGTGTGAGCTTCATCTCCAAAATAAATGACTTGCTTTCCAGTCCCTGTGTCAGGCTCTGCTTCTGGGGATGCAGCAGGCAGGCGCGGGTGAGAATTGTCCCTCCATGCCCGCAGGAGCCTGGAGATAACGAAGACCATTATCTTTCTGAAGGCTGTCCCTGGAAAGGGGCAGGCCGCAGTCGATGGGGCCCTGGTAATAATATAGTAGGTATAGCTACCGTGTATCAGATATCTTCTCTTCCCTGGGCATTGTGCCTGACACTTTACCAGTCTCCTGTCTCAAGCTCCGCAAGCAGCCCTATGTGACACAAGTCCTATTCCTAACCCCCTTTGACAAATGGGGGAAAGAGGCTCAGAAAGGTTGACTTGCTTCCCGGAGGAGGCAGAGCCAGGCTGTCCACCAACATCCAATCTACTGCCCTATGAGGTTGGAACCTCAGACATCCCATGTCCCGACCACCTGGGGTGGCAGCTGCCCAAGGCCCCTTAGGTGCTCACTGTGACAACTCCCCACCCCACGTCACCCTGCACAGCCGGGACCTGTTATCTGTTTTGTGCACGGCCTGCACCCGTCAGGGTAACGGACTGTGCTTGTCTTAGCAGAGGTGGCCTCTGGCAGGGATGATGTATGAGGCGCTATTGTTTGATATGAATGCATTAGGCGACATTCCCGATAAAGACTTTACCAGCAAAGCCGTGCTCGCTGGCAGCAGCCCCCATGTAGGAAGAGGGGCAGAGGCAGGGGCCTGAGTCCCCATCAAGCAGGGCACCTTCAGGACTCAGACACCAGGCCACTCTTGATTTCAAAACTCCTGAGTCCTGATTCTCCTGTCTCAGACCCTTATATGCAGGAGGGTGCAGACCCAGGGGTCTCCCAGCTCAGAAAGCATTAGGATCAGCTCGGTAGCTGGTTCAAAAGTTGGAGTCCCAGGCCCCTACCCAGATCCACTGAAACAGAACCTCCCAGCTGGGACCTGGGCATCTACTTCACAAATCAGTTCCCTTGATGAATCTGACATAGGTGGGCCAGGGCCTAAATGTGGCCCCCAAAATGGTGTGGGATGGAGACAGTGGGGTTTGAAGTCAGAGACCCTTGGGGTTGATTCTGGGCTCCTTCAAGAAGTAGCAGCAGGGATCTTGGGCAAGTCACTCAGCTTGCAACCCTCCTTGACATATAAGCCTCAGTTTCCCAATCTGTAGCATGGGGACAAGGGCAGTGCCTGCTGTGGCTGCCTCCTGGGGCTCAAGGGGACAAGAGCATGCCTGTGCTCTGCCCACCCACACATTCACAGCTCCAAGGGGCTGAGCAAGGTGTTCCCTCCTCATCTTCTCCAGATGGGCCACTTCTGGGGACACCACACGTCCTGCAGGCTGATGCTGTGGTGGATTCCAGGCACCGTGAGAGGGAAGAGAAGCCTCTTTAGGGCTGGAAGATCCTTCAAAGCATTCACTCCACACACTGTGTTGTTGTTAGGAGACATCTACCATACCCTGGCATGTTCAGGATGCAAAGGTGAACAGAATCCACTTGCTGCCCCTCAGGGGGCCTAACAGGAGCCTGAGAGATGGTCGTCTCGGAGATAACAGAGAGGGTCCCAACAGAGACAAAGTGACTCGGAGCTCTGGGAGGTTGGAGGAGAGAGAGGTGGGGTCCACCTAGGAGTTGAAGATGCAGGGAGGGTGCCCCAGAAATGGGGGTGACTTTGTGGGGGTTTGAATAGGGGTTGGCTTCAGTTGTGCAGAGGATGCTGGGATATAGGGGAGTCTCGTGAAAAGGTCAAGCCTCTCCAACACCATCATTCATTCATTCATTCATTCCACCAATATAGATTGAGTCCCTTCTCTGTATTAGGTGCTGTCTTGGGTGCAGAAGATCAGTGAACCCTCGGGTCACTGGTATTCTAGAGGGGAGAGGCAGACACAAGGATGATACAGATAGAAAATGCCACAGGTCAACAAGATGCATATTTTATTTTATTTTAAAAATAGAGACAAGGTCTTGTTCTGTCACCCTGGTAGGAGTGCAGTGGTGTGACCATAGCTCATTGCAGCCTGGACCTCCCAGGTCCAACTGATCCTCCTGCCTCAGCCTGTTGAGTCACTAGGACTACAGGTGCAACTATGCCAGGCTAATTTTATGTGTGTGTGTGGAGACAGGGTCTTGCTATATTGCCCAGGCTGGTCTCAAACTCCTGGCCTCAAGTGATGTTCCCACCTGGGTCTCCGAAAGTGATGGCATCACAGGTGTGAGGTACCACCCCTGGATGAACCTTGAAAACATGATGCAAAGTGAAGAAGCCAGATATTGGCCACATATTGTCAGAATTCATTTATATAAATGGATAGAATAGGCGTATCCGTAGAGACAGAAAGTAGGTGACTGGTTCCCCAGGACAGGGTGTGGAGGGAGGAATGGGAAGTGACAACTAAGGGGTGCAGGGCTTCCTTCTGGGCTGATGAAAATGTTCTGGAATTAGAGTGGTGATGATTGTATAACTTCATGAATATACTAAAACTGCTGAATTGTCCACATTACGAGGGGTGACTTTTATGGTATGTGAATTACATCTGAATTACAAGAAAAAATTTTTTTTTAAATGGAGATGGGGTCTCACTATGTTGTTCAGGCTGGTCTTGAACTTCTAGCTTCAAGTGATCCTCCCACCTTGGCCTCCCAAAGTGCTGGGATTACAGGCATAAGCCATCACACCTGGCCTATTTTTTTTTAAGCTACAGGTTATAAGGGAACAAGCCAGAAGCTGAGGGAGAGTGAGTAAGGACAGAGGGATGGATATGTCCAGAGAGGGCCTGGGGCCAAGGCCAGTGGACTCTCAGGGCCACTGGACAGACTGGCTTTTCACAGAGGGAGCTGGGAGCCATGGTGGGTTGTTGAGCAGAGGAGTAACAAGCTGCCTTATCTCTGTAAAGGTTCCATCTGGTAGTCATGAGAAGAATAGACTAAGAATGGAGCAAAGATGGAGGTAGGAAGGCCAGTGGCGAGGCTCGGGAGGATGGGGGCGTGGTCCAGCGTGGGCAGTAGTGATGGAGGTGGTGAGAAGTGGCAGATTCCGGATGTAGATAGGAGGTAACACTGACAGGACTGGCTGATGGATCAGCCATTCAGGGTAAGCAAGAGAGGAAAGGTTTGGGCCTCGCAGGATGAAGCTGCTGCTAACCGAGAAGAGGAAGACTCAGGAGGAAACAGGTCAGGGTTAGGGAGTGTCCAGGGGTCGGTTTGGGACTTGGTGAGTGTGCAATGCCTGCTGGCGAGGTTGGGTGACCAGCTGGACACATGATCCTTGAGCTTGGGGGTGAGGCCTGGGCTGGGGATAGAAACGGGGGCATCCCCAGCACATAGAAGGTGGTGAAGTGATGAAGCCATGCCAGGGGCCTACCAAGGAAAGGGGGGCAGAGAGGGTGAAGACCCAGGCCTGGGGGTTTCCATCATGGGGGGTGAGCATGGCATTATTATACCTCTGGAAGAAAAGAACACTGGCTCTTTTAAAAATGAAAACCTAGGCTGGATATGATGATTCGTGCCTGTAATCCTAGCACTTTGGGAGGTCCCAGGTAGGAAGATCGCTGTAGCCTCAGAGTTCGAGACCAGCCTGGGCAACACAGCCAGACCCCTGTCTCTACAAAAAAATTAAAAATTAGCCCGGGCATGTTGGCAAGTGCCTGTAGTTCCAGCTACTCAGGAGGCTGAGGCAAGAGGATCGCTTGAGTCCAGGAATTTAAGGCTGCAGTGAGATGATCATGCCACTGCACTACAGCTTATGGGACAGAGCAAGACTCTGTTTCTTAAAAAAAAATATATATATATATATAATATAATTATATTATATATATATTATATTATTATATTATATATATATAATTATATTATATATATAATATTTTATATATATATATATAGACTGAGGCGGGTGGATCACTTGAGGTCAGGAGTTTGAGACCAGCCTGGCCAACATGGTGAAACCCCATCTCTACTAAAAATACAAAAATTAGTCAGGTGTGGTGGCTCATGCCTGTAGTCCTAGCTACTCAGAAGCCTGAGGCAGGAGAATTGCTTGAACCCAGGAGGTGGAGGTGGCAGTGAGCTGAAAACGTGCCACTGCAATTCCAGGGTGGGCAACAGAGCGAGACTCCATTTCAAAAAAAAAAAAAAATTAAAAGTAGATCTACCATTCAATCCAGCAGTCCCACTGCTGGGTATCTACCCAAAGGAACAGAAGTCATTCTATCAAAAAGGCACATGCACACATAATGTTTATGGCAGCACAATTCACAATAGCAAATATTTGGAATCAACCTAAGTGCCCATCAACTGATGAGCAGATAAAGAAAATGTGGTATATATATACACCATGGAATACTATTCAGCCATAAAAAATGGAAACGTGTCTTTTGCAGCAACTTGGGTGGGACTGGATGCCATTAACCCAAGTGAAGTAACTCAGGAATGGAAAACCAAATATCACATCTTCTCACTTATAAGTGGGAGCTAAGCTGTGGGTATGCAAAGGCATGTGGAATGGTCTAACGGACACTGGAGATTCAGAAGGGGAGGTTAGAAGGGGGGTGAGGAATGAAAAACTACCTATTGGGTACAATGTACTCTATTTGGGTGCTGGGTACACTAAAATCCCAGACTTCACCACTACACAGCTCATCCATGTAACCAAAAACCACTTGTACCCCTAAAGCTATTGAAATTTTAAAAATTTAAAAAACAAAACAAAACACCAAAAACCCCCAATAGCTAGCACTGCTCTCAAGCTCATGTCAAAGGCTCTCACATGGCCTCCAAGGCCCAGAGTGGATTTCCCTGACTTCCCGGCCCCATTTCCTGCTTCTCCCGTCATCCCCAGCATGTGCACACAAACCGCATTGATCTTCAGCCAGTTCCCTGGACCTAAAGGCCACCTCTTGACAATTCCTCTGCCTGGAGCATTTATTCTTTTTGTGCACTAATTAGATCTTGGCTCAAGTCACCTCCTCCTAGAGCCTCCCTGACTGCACCTACAACAGCTGGTATCTCTCCACTCCACGAGCGCTTTTGATCTTTTTTTTTTTTGAGATGGAGTTTTGCTCTGTCACCCAGGCTAGAGTGCAATGGCGTGATCTCAGCTCACCGCACCCTCCAACTCCTGGGTTCAAGTGGTTCTCCTGCCTTAGCCGCCTGAGTAGCTGGGATTACAGACACACGCCAGCAAGCCTGGCTAATTTTGTAGTTTTAGTACAGACGGGGTTTCACCATGTTGGCCAAGTTGGTCTCGAACTCCTGACCTCAAGTGATACCCCTGATTCAGCCACCCGAAGTGCTGGGATTATAGGCGTGAGCTACCGCGCCTGGCCCTGCTTTTGATCTTAATAATCCTAGGGTCATCTGTTTGTGTTTTGGTTGTGGGGAGAGGCTGAAAACACCAAAAAAACAAAACAAAACAAAACAAAACAAAACAAAAAAAACTCCCAAAGAATTGAGTGAGGAAAAGCCTGACCCCCTGTTTAGTCACTAACTGCATGTCTCAAGTAAAATGCAGCCTGGCCTCTCTGCTGCTGTATTTGATCAATACCAAGACTCACATTTTGACATCTCTGGAACTGGGGCACGCTTTGCAGTAACAGTGGCCTCCAGTCCCTGCCAGCCAGGCAGCGGTCCTGGCAGAGTTATTACTGCCCAAGGGCCCTAACTTGGTCAGAGCTGTTCTATTGTCTCCACTCCGTGCTGACTTTAATGGCCATTTTAATGTCTTCAAACCAGAATGGCAAAATGTTGGTGATTGCTCACGTTACGTGATGGGTTCATAAAAGTTCATGATTCTATTCTTTTCACTCATTTGTGTGTTTAAGTTTCCATAAGAAAAAGAAAAAAAAAAAAAAGCTGGATGAGGTGGCTCACACCTGTAACCCCAGTACTTTGGGAGGCTGCAGTGGGAGGATCACTTGAGGCCAGGAGTTTGAGACCAGCCTGAGCAACATAGCAAGGCCCCATCTCTACAAAAAAAAAAAAAAAAAAAGAAAAGAAATTAGCTGGGACATGGTGGTGGGTGCTTGTAATCCCAGCTGCTTGGGAGGCTGAGGTGGGAGGATCACTTGAGCCCAAGAGGTCGAGGCTTCAGTGAGCTAAGATCACTCCACTGTACTCCAGCCTGGATGACAGAGCAAGACCCTGTCTTAAAAAAAAAAAAAAAAAAGAAAGAAAAGAAAGAAAAACAAATATAGGTCACCTGAGGCTCCACTTTGGAGGTGAGAAAATAGGATCAGAGAGGTTAAGAAACTTGCCAAGAGTCACCCAGCAAGCACATAAGTCCTGGGGCCAGGTTCCCCCCAGAACTGCCTGATTCCTAAGTATGTGCTCTTTCTCCTAGCCGAGGATCTCCAAAAAGGCCCTAATCGAAACGCCTTGGGCTTCCCTACCTCCGTGTCTCTGGGCCCTCGGCGGGCTGACTCTCCCCGCAACTAACTCTGCCTATTGAGAACCTGCTCATTTTCTAATCAATAGTTGTATTAGTCCATTTTCACACTGCTATAAAGAACTTCCCTGAGACTGGGTGATTTGTAAAGGAAGAAGCTTAATCAACTCACAGTTCTGCTTGGTTGGGGAGGCCTCAGGAAACTTACAATCATGGCGAAGGGGAAGCAGGCACTTTCTTCACAAGGTGGCAGGAGAGAGAAGAGAGCAAGGGAAACCACCACTTATAAAACCATCAGGTCTCATGAGAACTCACTCACTATCACGAGAATAGCATGGGGGAAACTGCCTCCATGATCCAATCACCTCACACCAGGTCCCTCCCCCAACACATGGGGATTACAATTAGGATTACAATTCGAGATGAGATTTGGTTGGGGACACATCCATACCGTATCAATAGTCATTCAACAAACACGGAGGGGACAACTATGGTGCCCAGCACTGAGCTGGGAGCAGGGGTTCAGCATGAACCAGACACAGCCCATATGCTCAGGAAGCCAAATCCCAAATGCCACCTCCTCCAGGAAGCCCACCTCCCAGTGCTGTGAACTTAATCTCATAGGATACCTCCTACAGTCTACTGCCAAGTTCAGCTGTGCCATGGCTGCCTCCCCCACTGGACAGCAAGCATCTTAGGGCCAGGGACTGTGTCTCACTTATCTCCTATCCCCAGTGCCTGGTGTGAGGCTTGGCGCATAGTAGGTGCTCAAGAAATAGCCTGCCTATTATATTGAATAAGTGTGAAGATGAACGTGCTGGTCCTATATACAGTAGGTGCCCAATAATGGATGACTCCAGTTGATGGTGGCCCTGCTGATTGGGTCAGGTGGGGAAGAGGGGACCTTGGCTTCTACACTTGACCCCAGGTCGGGGGAGAGGCTGCCCCCTCCCATCCCATACACACACATTAGCACACACCGACACTCCTACACACTCACATGCTATGCCTTTGCATGCTTATTCACCCAGAGATGCTCTCACATATATGCACACATACATGTGCACATTCTCTTTATTTATTAAATTTTTTTTTTTTTAGAGACAGGATCTCACTGTCTCACCCAGGCTGCAGTGCAGTGGTGTGATCTCAGCTAATCGCAGCCTTGAACTCCTGGGCTCTGGCAATCCTCCCTCCTCAGCCTCCAGAGTAGCTGGGAATACAGGTGGATGCCACCAGGCCTGGCTAATTTTTAAAATTTTTGGTAGAGACAGAGTCTTGCTTTGTTACCCAGGCTCACCTTCTCTTTGGACAGGTGTGGGGCAAGACAACAAGGAAGATGAGGAGTCGAAGCACCTGGTTCAGATCCTGGCTCAGAGACCTGGGAATGGTCTGGTCTTGGCTCTCAGTTTCTTCATCTGTAAAATGGGGATGATACAAACCATCCTCACCAGGCACCATCAGTATAAGCTGAAGTCAAATGAGTTAATGCGTGGAAAGGTCTGGGCCCCGGTAGTCCATTCCCTACCTCCTCAACCCTGGTTGGCTCTGGGACTCACAGTGTGATGCTGGAAGCATGGTGCAGGATGTGACATTGGCTTCGTGGCCACACCTGGCTCTGGCTTGTCCCCTCTCATCCCTCCCTCCCAGCAGCCCCCAAGCCTGTCCTCAGTTTCCTTCGCCCCCGGGAGGTGCCCCACCCATCGACTTCTCCGCTTTGCAAGGCTTGCCCCACCATGTCCCCATCATTAGCCTCCCGACTCCACAATCTAGGAAAAGAATCCTGGAATTGGTGTCCCGCGTGCCATGAGCACACATGCATTTTAGCAGAAGCTTCTAAAAATAAAGTGATGCTAACAGTGGGATTTCAGGCACAGTCAGGCCACCTTCTGCCCTCCCACCCACCCCAAGCCCACCCAGGGTTCGGCAGGAAACAGACTGCAGCGTGGCAGCTCCAGATGCGATTGTTAGAGCTAATTTATGCTCCGTTTACACAGGCTCCAGATGTCATGGGCTCTTTGTGGATTTATCCAAATGCCAGGGAAGGAGAGGAGGTGCTGGGGCAGACGCTGCAACCCCTCCCCCCAGCCTGCTTTCTTTTCCTAGGCCAACTCTGAGGACGGCACTCCAAAGGGTGGCCCCAGGCACTCCCCTGATCTGCCAAGCCCCAGCCCTGTTCCCCAATATTTCTGTCCAGTGTTTGGGTCATAGACTATAAGCTCCATGAGAGCAGGATCCTTGTGCCTGGGCCAGCTCTGGGGACAATTAGGTGCTGATTAAATGCCTCTAGCAATGGGGATGACAGCCAGTGTGACCGTGGCTGCAGTGGTTTAAACTGTGTCCCCCCAGAAGATATGATGAAGTCCTATCTCCCGCTACCTATGAATGCGACTTTATCCAGAAGAAGGTCTTTGCAGATATATTCAAGATAAAATGAGGTCACATTGGATTAGGGTGGGCTCTAATCCAACGATTAATGTCCTTACAAGAAGAGGGAAATTTGGACATAGACACAGAGAGGAAAACACCGGGTGATCACAGAGGCAGAGATGGGAGGACTGCCTCTACAAGCCATAGATGCCAAGGGCAGGCTGCAACCATCGGAAGCCAGCAGAAGGGCATGGCATTTTTTTGCCTCAGAGCCTCCAGAAGGAACCTACCCTGTTGACATCTTGATTTCAGATTTCCGGCCTCCAGAACTGGGAGAGGATAAACCTCTGTTGTGTTAAGCCACCCAGTTTGTGGTACTTTGTTATGGCGGCCCTAGCAAACATATAGTGGCAATGAGGATGAGGTGTCCAGATGGCCAGCGTGGCCAAGGGTTTCTCCTTCAAGGCCCCTGAGTCTCCCTCCCTATGGCCTCTTCCCTAGGTAGGGCGGCCACCATCTCCCATATGGAGGACTGCACCAGCCCCTCCTGACATCCTCGCCTTGGGCTTCTCCCTCCATCTGTTCTCCACTCAGCAACCAGGAGATTCTTTCCAACCAGCACCCTGGTGCCTTCACTCCACTCCCACCTCCCATTCACTCCTGCACCCACTGCCATCTGCTCTGACCCTCCAACCCCTGCGAATGCTGCCCCCAAGCCCTGGACAGGCATTTGTCCCACCTCGCAGGCCTCCCTGGGATGTCAAACACTGTTCTAACTCCCTCTTTGCAACTCTCTTTGCCCTCTGATTCTGAGACACGTTCTCTCCTGTTCTCCTCTTACCTGTCTGATGTGTGTGTGTGTGCAGCCTCCTCCCTTTCTGCTGCCTCTTGAATGCAGGCATGCCCCAGGGCTCTGCCTTCTCTCTGCTGCTACTCCCACACACGGTGGTGGTGATGGCAGTCATGATGGTGATGATGGTGGCCTTAATGGTGATGATAATGATGGTGGTTATGATGGTGACGGTGGTGATGACGGTAGTGATGATGGTGGTGGTGATGGTGGTCATGCTGCTGCTGCTGGTGGTGGTGATAATGATGGTGCTGCTTGTAATGATGGTGGTGGTGATGATGATGGTGGTGCTGGTGGTAATGATGATGGTGGTAATGATGGTAGTGGTGATAATAATGGTCATGCTGCTGCTTGTGGTAGTGGTGATAATGATGGTGCTTTTTGTGATGGTGCTGGAGTGGTAGTGGTGATGGTGGTATTGATGGTGGTTGTGGTGGTGATAATGGTGGTGGTGATGGTGGTCATGCTGCTACTGGTGATGTGGTGATAATGATGGTGCTGGTTGTGATGGTGATGATGGTGGTGGTGATAATGGTGGTGCTGATGGTGGTGGTGATGGTGGTGGTCGTGGTGGTAGTGACGGTGGTGGTGATAATGGTGGTGGTGATGGTGGTAGCGGTGATGATGGTGGTGATGGTGATGGTGGTGGTGCTGTGATGATAGTGGTGGTGGTGATGGTGGTGGTGGCAATGGTGATGGAGGTGATTATCGTGGTGATGGTGGTGGTGGTGATGGTGATGATGGTGGTGGCAGTGATGATGGTGGTGATGGTGGTGGTGGTGATGGTGGTGGTGGCAATGGTAATGGAAGTGATGATGGTGGTGATGATGGTGGTGGTGATGGTGGTGGTGGTGATGGTGGTGGTGATGGTGGTGGTGGTGGTGATGGTGGTGGTGGTGGTGATGGTGGTGGTGGTGGTGATGGTGGTGATGGTGATAATGGTGGTGGTGATCATGGTGGTGATGGTGATGGTGATGATGGTGGTGGTGGTGGTGGTGATGGTGGTGGTGGTGGTGATGGTGGTGGTGGTGGTGATGGTGGTGGTGGTGGTGATGGTGGTGATGGTGATAATGGTGGTGGTGATCATGGTGGTGATGGTGATGGTGATGATGGTGGTGGTGGTGGTGGTGATGGTGGTGGTGGTGGTGATGATGGTGGTAATGGTGGTGACGGTGGTGGTGGTGACAGTGGTGGTGATGATTGTGGTGGTGATCATGATGGCGATGGTGGTGGTGGTGGTGGTGATGGTGGTGATGGTGGTGGTGATGATGATGATGATGATGGTGGTGGTGATGGTGGTGGTGGTGGTGGTGGTGATGGTGATGGTGGTGGTGGTGGTGATGGTGGTGGTGGTGATGGTGATGGTGGTGGTGGTGATGATGGTGATGATGGTGGTGGTGGTGATGGTGATGATGGTGGTGGTGGTGATGGTGATGATGGTGATGGTGGTGATGGTGGTGATGGTAGTGATGGTGGTGGTGATGATGGTGGTGGTAGTGGTGGTGGTGATGGTGATGATGGTGGTGGTGGTGATGGTGATGATGGCAGTGGCGGTGATGGTGATGATGGTGATGGTGGTGATGGTGGTGGTGGTGATGATGGTGGTAATGGTGGTGGTGACGGTTGTGGTGGTGATGATTGTGGTGGTGATCATGATGGCGATGGTGGTGGTGATGGTGGTGGTGGTGATGGTGATGATGGCGGTGGTGGTGATGGTGATGATGGTGATGGTGGTGATGGTGGTGGTGGTGATGATGGTGGTAATGGTGGTGGTGACGGTTGTGGTGGTGATGATTGTGGTGGTGATCATGATGGCGATGGTGGTGGTGATGGTGGTGGTGGTAGTGGTGGTGGTGGTGGTGGTGATGGTGGTGGTGGTGATAGTGATGGTGGTGGTGATGGTGGTGATGGTGGTGATGGTGATAGTGATGGTGGTGGTGATGGTGGTGGTGGTGGTGATGGTGATGGTGATGGTAGTGGTGGTGATGGTGACGGTGATGGTGATGGTGGTGGTGGTGGTAGTGGTGGTGGTGGTGATGGTGGTGGTGGTGCTGTGGTGTTGGTGGTGGTTCTGTGGTGATGACGGTGATGGTGCTGTGGTGATGGTGGTGGTGGTGATGGTGGTCACAATGGTGATAATGGTGGTGGTGGTGGTGGTTATGGGGATGGTGATGCTTCTGCCAAGAGAGCCTCTCAACACAGACAGTGTGATTGGTCAAGCTATGCTGAAGCCTCAGCTTTCTCAGGCACTAAATCTCAGGCACTTTTTTTGTATCTCCATCTCTCTCTCTCTTTTCTCTTTCCTCCCTTTTGTACACACAGGTGTATATATAAACTGTACTAGTGTCCTAGGCTCTTATAACAAAGTAGCACACACTGAGTGGCTTAAAGCAACAGAAATCAACTCTATCACAGTTCTGGAGGCTGGAAGTCTAAAATCATAGGTCAGCAGGGCCATTCCATCTGAGATTCAGGGTAAAATCCTTCCTTGCCTCTTCCTAGCTTCTGAGGTGACCATTAAACCTTGGTATTTCGGGGCTTACAGCTGCATCACCCCAATCCCTGCCTGCATCATCACATGGTCTCCTCCCTGTGTGTCTGGGTCTCTTTTCCTCTTTTTACAAGAACACCGGTCATATTGGATTAGGAGTCGTGCTAATGACCTCATCTCAATTTGATTACATCTGCAAATACCCTATTTCCAAATGAGGCCATAGTTATGGGTATAGGGTGTTAGGACCTCAACGTATCTTTTTAGGGGGCATAGTTTAACCCAGCACACACACACATATACACACACACACCTACACACACAGAGTCACATTTCCGTGGCCTTTTCTTCTTTTTTCTGTTCTTTTTTTTTTTTTTTTGAGACAGTCTTGCTCCGTTGCCCAGGGTGGAGTGCAGTGGTGTGATCTCGGTTCACTGCCACCTCTGCCTCCCGGATTCAAGCGATTCTTCTGCCTCAGCCTCCCAAGTAGCTGGAATTACAGGCACCTGCCATCACGCCCAGCTAATCTTTGTATTTTTAGTAGAGATGGGGTTTCACCATGTTGGCCAGGCTGGTCTTGAACTCCTGACCTCAGGTGATCCACCAGCACCTCCCAAAGTGCTGGGATTACAGGTGTGAACCACGGCGCCCGGCTCCAGCATCCTTTTTTTAATGCTCATATCATTTTCATACCTCATTCCTCTCATTATCAAACATTTGCCTCTCTGACCCCTCTCTTCTCTTCTATTTGTCTTTTTTACCCCTCCCTCCCTCCTTCCTTCTCTCCCTCCCTCCCTCCTGCCTGCCTGCACCCTTTAAGCATTTATGGAGTTTCATTCTCTGCCAAGCTCTGGAGAACTGGAGACAGAGATGGAGGTGACATACATGGTCCCGTCTTCCAGGAGTCACTGCCTAGAAGGGAGCATGAGGCCTGCACCGCCCATTGGCCAAGCAGCCTCCTGAGGGCTTTGATGGGGGTCCCCAGAGCTGGGGGCACGTTTGATGCAGCAGAACCAACGTGTCCTTGGTCCCTTCTGCCCCTCTATAGCTCCCAGGCCATCTCCTCTCCTGCCCACCTCCACGGCGATGAGCCCTGAGGCTGCTCAGATATCCACCTGCCCACTGGATGCATCCCTCCCCCTTGGGTCCAGGTTCCAGGCCCTGTCTGCTACAGGAGGTCAGTGAAGCCACCTGGGAAGAATGGCCAACACAGTCTGGAAGGGGAAGCAGGGCGTGTGTCCCTCTCTGAAGCCAGCGCACCTGCCTCCCACCCTCCCACTCTCTCTGCACGTCTCTCATTAATGAGGCTGAAGATCACCCAGCCTGTCTCTGAGCTTTGCACTGAAAGGGCTAAATGATATGCTGACACCTTAATTACCACCCGTTGTCACGGAGCATGGGGAAATTGTCTGAGTGATCCCCGGAGAATGGGCACTAACAGGCCCGTCAGTGTCTTTGATTCCTCATGGCAGATTGGAAAGTGACACGGAAGAGGGGCTCCAACTGCAGCCCCTGGGTGACAGCTGCATGGTTGCCCCAGGTGAAGGGTCCCTCAGGTGACGAGTGCCAGCGTGGCCTCACCTCAGGGGCCAGGGGTCTACCTAGGAGCTCCTTCCTGGTTTACCTTGGAGGAGAAATGAATATGCTGGCCCCATTCTCTCTCTTTCTCTCTTAGCCAAACCATCGCCCCCTTTGATCCACTGCATGGCGGTCCCCCAAACACCCCTCTACCCCTCACCTTTCTGGGTCCTCAGAGCAGGTCCAAGCATTGGCCACATTTGCTAATGTTGACTGAGTCCTGCTCTGAGCCAGGCATTGCACGTGTAACCACAACCCAGTTTTTCACCACAACCCAGCGGAGTGAGGAATATTATTCTCCCATTTCACAGATGAGAAAACAGAGGCTCTAAGGGTTCAAGTCACCTGTGAAGGGCAGAGCAGGTAGCCTGGCTGCCACTCTAGACCTTGGCCACTGCAAGGCACTGCCACACAGCAATGTGATCATCCCCACTGTGCAGATGGTGACTCAAGGCCCAATGGGGTGGGATTTGCCACCATCACTGGGGTCTCCCGTAGCAGACAGGGCCTGGAACCTGGACCCCTCACTCCCACTCCAGGGCTTTTTCCACCAGGGCAGAGTTTTGCAAAGTGTATCTGGGTGGGTGTAGGAGATGTTGACAATATTAATAACACAATAACAGTAATGACCTGTCACTGAGGCTGACAAAGCACAGGCTCTGTGTCTTGCAGACCCAGGGGAACTGAGGCTCTACAATCACCGGGGCTGCCTTTGTGAGGATTGTGTGAACTGGGGCAGGGAAAGTCAAGCACTCGGGAATAGGAGAGGCCTTGGGTCCCCTCCCCTCTCTACTGGCCCACAGCACAGAGGACAGGGGCACCTGATGCCTGGCAGCCAGCGCCTGGGGATGGGGGAGGAGGGGCCCTGCTCCACTCAAGCCAAGCCCAGGGGCTTCCCTGATCTCTGACTACCGCCCACCCCATGGAAACCCCCCACTGCCCTTGCTGCTGTCTCTGGGCAAGTGAGAGGAGAGGCTGCGTTGGGTACCTGATAATTTAGACTTTTTAATGATCTCCTTGGAGTAGCATCTTCCCTTCTGGCTGTTATAATGGAATCACAGGTGAGAAGAACCTCCTGACACTACTAATTGGCTCCATCAGCTGGAAAATGAGCGAGGACACCTCTGCGCAGAGGAGACATTCACTCAGCACCCACAGGACGGGCAGAACTAGGGGGCCACGACCCCAGATAAGTGTGTGGGAGCTGATTGACAGCACCCGGCCCGGGAAGAGGGGCAGGAACAGCAGCGCTTGACAGCTGATGCAGCGTTCCCAGGGCCCGTCCCACACCTGGTGAAGGGGAGTGGCTACCGAGGCTTGTCACTCTGACTTGTCATTTCATATGGCCCCCGGCAACTCCAGGAGGCACACCGATTATCCCTGCATGGCGGGTGGGGAAGCCAAGGCTCAGAGATGGAGGGACTTACCCAGGTGTCATGGCTGATAAATGCTCTCCTATCCTCTGTATATTCCCCTCTTGCCACTCCCAGCTGTCAGCACGGCCCTTCCCTCACCACCCAGGAGGCTGCCAGAAAGCTTCAGAGTGCCAAAATGCCATCACAAAACCCCAGCAAGGCTGGGTGTGTACCTGTAGTCCCAAGTATACAAGTAAGTACACCTGCCAAGGTGCACTTGTAGTCCCAAGCATACTCAGGAGGCTGAGGCGGGAGGATCACCTGAGCCCAGGAGTTCTGGGCTGCAGTGAGCTATGATTGTGCCTGTGAGTAGGCACTGCACTCCAGCAACACAGTGAGACCCCATCTTAAAAAAAAAAAAAAAAAAAAAAAAACCCAAGCACAAGACCCAGCAATTCTACTCTCCACTATCTACTCAAGAGAAATGAAGACTTGATGCGTCCACATCAAGACTTGTACACAAATGCTCATAACAACATTATTCATAATAGCTAAAAAGTAGAAACAACCCATACGTCCATCGACTGAGGGCTGGATAAATCAAATGTGGTCTATCCCTACAATGGAATATTACTCAGCTGTTAAAAAGGCATGAAATTCTGATACATGTGAAGACATCGATGATCTTTGAAAACAGCATGTTTGGTGAAAGAAACCCATCATAAATGACCACATGTTAATAGTTTCATTTATATGAAATGCCAAGAATAGGTAAATCCAGAGAGACAGAAAGGTTAGTGGTTGCCATGGATCGTGTGTGTGTGTGTGTGTGTGTGTGTGTGTGTGTGACTATTAATGAGGGAGTTTCCTTTTGAGGGAAATGATGAAAATGTACTAAAATTGATTGTGTGCTAGTTGCAAACTCTGTGAATATCCAGACAACCATTGAATGATGCACTTCCAGTGTGTGCCTTCTGCAGTATGTAACTGACACCTCACTAAAGCTGGTGCACTGTCCGCCCAACGGTGTGTACAAAAACCCTGTGGGTAGACCCCTGCCCCGTGTGTCTGTGATTCATGCTCTGAACCTGTGGTCAGGGCAAAACCGAGCTGGGGGCCACCCCAGACCTTCAGAATCACCCACCAGAGCTGGGCAGGGCCACGTGGCACAGCCCGGAAAGCAGTTTAGGAAAGCTGTCACCCAGGACCCTCTGGGCAAATCCCTGACTCTCCTCTGTTGTGCAACCCTCATTGAATGTCCCCTTGCTGAGGGCTTATGACTTTCCAGACCCTGTGCCGGTGCTGGGGACATGGTGGGGAGCAAGAAACACTCCCCATCTCCAGGAAGCCAATAGATGGGGGTGGTGGCAAGATGGAAACGACAGCCGCTTGTGACATTGCCACTGTCAAGGCAAGCATGTAGGGAGGGGCCCCTAACCCAGCCCAAGGCCTGGACATTCTCCCAAGAAACAGATGTGCAGGCAGAGACTCGAAGGAACTAAGGAGAAGTAAAGTGACTCTGGGCAGAAAACTATTCCAGTATTCCACGCAGGTATGAAGGCCTGGAGGCTCATGAGAGTGTGGCAAATTCAGAGGAAGGAAAGGGGGAAGGTGGGAGGCAGAAGTGGGAGGATGGCTTGAGGCCAAGAGTTTGAGAACAGCCTGGGCTACATAGCAAGACCCCCTGTATCTATGAATGAAGTTTTAAAAAAGTTAGCGAGGTGTGATGGTGGGCACCTGTAGTCTCAGCTACTTGGGAGGCTGAGGTGGGAGGATCACTTGAACCTAGGAGATAGAGGCTGCAGTAAGTTGTGTTTGTGCCACTGCACTCCAGCCTGGGAGACAGGGCAAGACCTTGGAGAGAGAGAGAGAGAAAGAAAAAGAGAGAGAGACAAAGAAAGAAACGGAAGGAAGGAAGGAAGGAAGAAAGGAAGGAAGGAAAGAAAGAAAAAGAAAGAAAGAAAGAAAGAAAGAAAGAAAGAAAGAAAGAAAGAAAGAAAGAAAGAAAGAAAGAAAAAGGAAGGGAGAAAAAAGAAAGAAAAAGAAAGAAAAGAAAGAAAGGGAAGGAAGGAACGAAAGAAGGAAAGAAAAAAGAAAGAGAAAGAAAGAAGAGAAAGAAAAGAGGGTAGAGAGAGAAACAGAGAGAAAAGAAAGAAAAAGGGGAAAGAGAAAGAAAGAAAGAAAAAGAAAGAGAGAGAGAGGAAGAGAGAGAGGGAGGGAGGGAAGGGAGTGACTCAGGAAGCCCCCCAGGCTCTGTGAGGTGGGGGCTGAAAGGGGGCGACATGGAACAGCCCATGGCCAGCACAGCCAACACTGCAGACATGACCTTCCCCGAGGAAGAGCCAGCTCCGGGCACTTCCCCTGCCCTGTAGGCTCTTCTCTGGGCTGGGGCTCTGGAGATTCTGCAGGGGTCTCCAGGCCCACCTAGCTAGGGTCCCCTGACCCTACCCCCATCACCTCCCTGGCCCCCTCCCAGCCACTCTCCCTTGCTCTGTAGGTGCTAAACAAAGCAGAAGGAAAAGCAAGACTAAATTTTAATGAGACATCTCTGGGATGCTTAAGCTGCATTTAAAAGCCCCTAAGCTTCCTGAGACAGAGGTGGGGGGACCTGCATTAGGAAGGGTAAATATTTACAACTCCACCTGAAAAGCTGAGCCCATTTTTCATGCAGGATTTTAATAATATAGATCTCTGCGAGAGAGAGACATAAATATAGGGAAATGAAATCACGGGAGGTGGCAGTGCCAGGGTCCTGAATTATGGATATGAACCTGTCCCAAACTTCTTATTTTTAATTAAAAAGCCCTTTTCAGCAATTCCATTAAGAGGCGGCTGTGGTTCGAGAGTCTCTTGCTTGGTCTCTTTAAATTATGAAATGTCCCATCGACCCCTTCAAGGTTCAGGGGCTGGAGGACAGAAGTTAGGGGGATGTTAGGATTCCAGAGGCCATGACTCAGGTCTTGACTCTGGGCCCTGAGCCCTTCACGGCCATTGCGCTGCAGCCAGACTGTGAACCTGCTGTGCACTGGAGACACCCATCTCTATCACCTCTCGCTGCCCATGACACCAGGGTGAGGTCAGGATGATACACCGAGTTTACAGAGTAGAAGCAGCTGAGGCTCAGAGAGGGAAAGGGATTGGCCCAAAGTCACACAGCCAGGAAGAGGTGGAGCTGGAACTTGGTGCTGGGACCACGTGATGCCAAGTCTCGTGCCTTTGCCACCTCTCCCCAGCACAGAGAGGGACTGGAGTCCTTGTCCTGTCCCCTGGAAGGGCCTTGGTGAGGGACAGACAAACCCCAGCGCCTGATCAGCACAGACCTGGGATCCAAGGAGAGGGGCCCTGTTGGCAGCACATCACACATTCACTCAACAAGTGTTCTCTGGGCCAGGCGCAGTGGCTCACACCTGTAATCCCAGCACTTTGGGAGGCTGAGGCGGGTGGATCACTTGAGGTCAGGAGTTCGAGACCAGCCTGGCTAACATGGTGAAACCCCGTCCCTACTAAAAATATAAAAATTAGCCAGAAGTGGTGGTGCATACCTGTGGTCCCAGCTATTTGGGAGGCTGAGACAGGAGAGTCGTTTGAACCTGGGAGGCGGAAGTTGCAGTGAGCCGAGATCGTGCCCCTGCACTCCAGCCTGGGTGACAGAGTGTTCAAAAAAAAAAAAAAAGAAAAAGAAAGGTTATCTGAGCACCTGCTCTGTGTGAGGATCCAGGCCAGGAGCTAGGGAATTGGAGTACCCTCCTCTCTGCCTGTCTGCCTCCTCCTGGAAGCCTTCCCTGATCACCGCAGCCATTATTCCATCTGTCATTCATCCTTCCAGTTGCTACCCAGGCCCTCACCTCATACCCATCCTTCCACTCATCTATTCTGTCCATCCATCCATCCATCCTGAAAAGGAACTAACTCATCTCAAGCCATTACTATCAAGCCATTACTGTGTGTCACTCAATGTGCCTCTCTCATTGAATTTTCATGGCACTTCTGCCAACTAAGGTCTATCGGTTCCATTTTACAGATGAAGAAACTGAGGCTCTGAGATGTGTAAATTGATTCTCCAAAGGCAACGGACTGGAGAGCTAGTTGCACACTTCTAGGCATGGTGACAGGCTGTTGTTGGTGAGGTGTTTGGGTCAGAGAAGAGAGATCTTCCAAACCATACCAGGCGGGTGGGCTGCCTGTTCCCGCTTTCCTGCCTCCACCATGTGGGGGCTTACCCAGCCCCTCCCACCTGGCTCCTAGGCGAGGCTGCCATGACCGTCTCCTGCCCCCAGAGTGGTGCAGGGAGAGGCAGGCCCCCAAACACAGGGGGCTATTGTGCCCCTCCCAGGAACACAGGCACCCCATTGTCTGGAGGAAGCTGCAGGTGGGTTCCAAGCTGCTCCGGAGCCCAGTGCCTGTCATCTGGCTTTGATTGTCACCATTGTGTGGCCACAGGGATCCTTTGTCCCCAACAGGCTCTCTCCTCCTGCCCAACCCTCCCCTCACCATAATCATTGTGCTTTGCACTCAGGATGGTAGAGGGATTAGGGAGGGGTGGGGGAGCACTGGCTGGGGAGTCCAGAAACCCCCAAACATCACATTCCCTCTCCAAGCCTCAGTTCCCCCGTCTGTAAAAGGGGAAGATAATTTCTGCCATGCCTCCTCCATATTGGAGACCACAGTGGGCAGCTTAGAGGTTATTCCGAGTATGGGTTTGGTCCTAGCTCTGTCATCTGTGGGGCCTCCACGCAAGCCATTTGCCTTCTCTGAACCTATTTCCGCATCTGCAAAGTGGAAATCAAAGAGGGCTTGGCTCGGAGGAGACAAGGCATGTACAGCACTTGACTCAGAGGCTGTTCTAAGAGAAGCAGCGGCCTCTGAGCACCAAGGAGTCTGTGCCAGTGCAGGGCATTCTGCTTTTTCTACTGCACTTCCCAACCATCAAAGCCCTTCCTTAGGCCATCTCAGGTCTTAGCCCAGAGAAGTTCAGCAAGCTATCTAAGGGTCACACAGCAAAGGAGTCATCAGCCAGGTTCACCGACTCCTGTCCTAGGCTGTTTTTCCTCCAGAACACGAGGCTTCAGCGGAGCTTTAGGCATCTGGTGGGCGGGGGCTGGATGGGGCTCTGCATCCAAGGGTGGTCTCGTGAGGGGTGCTCCTGGTGTACTTGGCAAGGGCAGGGACTTGACTGCACCCCAGTGTCCGAACAGTTTCGGCCCATTGTAGGGGCTCAATAGGTGGACAGGTGCTGTGCCCTGGGAGCCCCGGAGAGGCTCCCAGATTTGGAAATGGCTGGGTGGGGTCCAGTCCAGGATGAAAGGCCCTGCCACTGCTGCCCCTGAGGACAGAGAGGGCTTAGGGTGACAGATGCACCCGTGTGGGGAGGCAGGAGGGTGGACAAGACCACGGGTGTCAGATCCGTCCAGCAGTGGGCACCCTGGTCTGTGGTCACTGAGGGCTAAGGTCTCTGTGGTGATTTCTGCTGCCGCAAGTCCTCTTCTCAGGATCTGGGTGGATGAGGGGAGTGGCCTGGATGACTCAGAGACTCAAGGATGAGTCCAGCAGTCACCAGCAGCCAGTGTCCAGCAGGGTGTCTCAAGCCTTGGCACACAGTTACAGTCACAAGGGGAGAGTGCCACAGGGATCCAGCAAGGCCATCTGGCTGGTGTCACGGAGACACACACAGGCCACCCGGATGATGTCACAGAGACAGATAGTGTCACATTGACTGTCCAGGCTCCTAGGGGAAGTGTCACACACAGTCTGATTTACAGTGTCCTGGGACAGTGTCTCCATTCACTCACAGGGTCACCTGGACCGTGCCTTGCAGACACATCCACAGTGTTACAGAGATACACACGGAGTCCCAAACAGATAGAGAAGAGAGTGTCTGCAGGACAGCAGCAGCAGACAGTGGCACAGACACAGGTAAGCAATGCCCATCCACCCGCCAGGGTCAACTGGACAGTGTCCCACTGCCACAGATAAACTGCATCACAGACAACAGAGGCACCCAGCAGTGTCCGCAGACATGGACAGACACATTGTGTCTGGTACAGTGTCACCCCAGTAGACAGTGTCCCACGGCATCTGCTGGCATGATGCCCCTGACATAGTGTGACACCATGTGGGACCCTATCACATGTGCATGTGTGGCCAGGACCACACACACGCACACACACACACACATACACATGCACACATGCACAGACACACACATACCTGCACACGCACATACACACACATACACACGTGCGCACACACACTCCCTCCCACCACAGGTCCAGGGCAGAGGGCCGGGACCTCCCCTGGGGACGCAGACCTGAAGTTGGGCCCTGGCCCCTCCCTCCCCCATGTGTACCCTCCCTTCTCTGAGTCACAGCTCCTCCCTGAGAGAATGGCCACCTGCCAGGTAACGGGGCTTCAGTGAGACATGAAAGTCTGACATTTGCAGTGGGATTCTGGCGATGGAAGGCCCAGCCTCAGGGTGAGGCACAGCGGGTCTCTGCTTCTCCATAGCAGGCCTTGGACGGGCAGTGCCGGCGAGGTCACCATGGCATGGAAGCCCCTCAGGGACTTCAGAGGCTGGCCTTGGATAGGGAGCGGTGTGGAATGGAGGGGCCCAAGATCACCCCCTCGGCCTCCCCAACACCCCCCTGGCCATGAGCAAGGATAGCTTGGAGATGGCATCACCTTGGACCTGGACTACCTGCTTGCTACTTAGAGGACTCAGCTGAGCCCCCTCCCACAGGGGACGTGCCCACCGGGGGCCTGCCCCTCTCCTGACCGAATCCAGAAGCTGAGATCCTGGAATCCCCTTCTCCAACAGCCCTCAGCCCCCTTCTGTGGCCTGGAGGGGCCCTTCCCTAAGCCCATCCAAGGTCCATGCTCCCAGGACAAATCTGCCACCAGTAAGAGTAGGCCTCTTGGCCAAGGGGCAGCCGTTTCAGGGGGTGGGTGTGTCTGGAGCTGGGCCTGGTGGGCTGGCATCTACATATATGTAAGCAAGGTCTTTCCAGTCCTGGCTGCAGCCCATGTTGGGAAGACAGGGCTGGGTGGCCTGGGGCCAGGGCCTCCATGCATACCAACTCTAGACCCTGCAAGTGTCAGGGGTAGGTCTGGTGGGGAGCTGGGCCCCAGGACTGGACTGGGCAACCCTCATCAAGAAACCTGTTTGGGCTGGGTGCGGTGGCTCACACTTGTAATCAAAGCACTTTGGGAGGCCAAGGTAGGTGGATCACTTGAGGTCAGGAGTTTGAGACCATCCTGGCCAACATGGTGAAACCCCATCTCTACTAAATATACAAAATTAACTGGGCGTAAGTGGTGGGTACCTGTAATCCCAGCTACTCGGGAGGCTGAGGCAGAAGAATCACTTGAACCTGGGAGGCGGAGGTTGTGGTGAGCTGAGACGGTGCCACTGCACTCCAGCCTAGGCAACAGAATGAGACTTTGTCTCAGGAAAAAAAAAAAAAAAAAAAAGAAGCCTGTTTGTTGGCCAGGCATGGTGGCTCACACCTGGGAGGACTTTGGGAGGCTGATGTAAGCAGATTGTTTGAGTCCAGGAGTAGTTCCAGACCAGCCTGGGCAACATGGGGAAATCCAGTCTCTACAAAAAATATAAAAATTAGCTGGGCATGGTGGTGGGCGCCTGTAGTCCCAGCTACTCGGGAGGCTGAGGCAGGAGAATGGCTTGAACTCAGGAGGCGGAGGTTGCAGTGAGCCAAGATGGCACCACTGCACTCCAACCTGGGCAACAGAGTGAGACTTCATCTCAAAAAGAAAAAAAAAATTAGCTGGGGATGATGGTGTGCACCTGTGGTCCCAGCTACTTGGGAGGCTGAGGTGGGAGGACCACCTGAGCCTAGGAGGTTGAGGCTGCAGTGAGCCATGACTGCCTCAATGCACTCCAGCCTAGGTGATAGAGTAAGACCCTGTCAAAAAAAAAAAAAGGAAAAGAAAGAAAGAAAAAAAGAAGAAAAAAGGAAAAAGAAAAAAAAAGAAAAGAAGCCTGCTTCTCAGGAGCAAACTCCTTCACCTGACAAGAAAAATTCCAGGCCTCCCTCCTCTGTCCAGGCTTAAATGACTTCAGGCTCAAAGCACCCCAGCCCTGCCATAGGACCCCCTACCTGACCCAGGGATTCCAAACCAGAGTCTACTGGTCAACCCAAATATAGGTGCACAGGGAATATGAATCTAGAGTTCCTCTAGCAGCTGTGGGGCCATTGTTGGACAGGGCAGACAATCTAGCCCAGGCCAGGGCTCAAGCTTGTACAATCAGGACCACTAGGAATAATATGAGACTCAGAAACCCCATCAGGCCTGGGTTCAAATCCTGACTCTGCATGGCACCAGCTATGTGACCTTGGGAAAGCTATTGAGCCTCCCTGAGCCTTAACTTCCCTTCTTTTGGAAACTGGAGAGCAAATATGCCTCCTAGGATGTCGCTAGAATCAAATATAATCATGGCTTTGAATTCTCCCTGTACCTAAAGGCTATACAGAGGTCCTTAGCAAAGTGTTTGTTGAATGAATGATTTTAAAGGACAATCTGAAAAGAGGTGGGGGAGGGGGGCATCAAAGGAAGCTATAGATCTCAGCCCAACCCCCGGCTCCCAAATCCCTCCCACTATACAGCCTGGGTCTCGGTGAAGCAGCAGCTGCAGTCCCTTCCTGGGGCGGGGACCCCCTTCCTCTGCTCTGAGCCCCTCCCCGAGCTGCAGGAGGCACAGATACATGTTCGGAGGGGGCATTATCTGTGCTCAGTTGACTGTAAACGTTTAAGCGGAATTGACTGTGTACTCAGCCACTTGCAAACACAACTAATCTTCATTGGGGCGACGGGAAGTGAAATATGTTATTGTCGGTGGCAGTAAATTACCCGTGCCAGACCTGGCGTGTGAGGCATTACGGGCCATGGCCGGCGCACTCCTTCACCCGGCCGCCACCCGTCCGCAATTCATTACTGCAAACGACCCTGGTCATCTCCTTGCCAGGCCTGGGGACGTGAGGCTGGCCACCAGCCTCCCAGGGCCTGGACCCCGCCCACCTTGGGCAGCAGGTGGGGAAGAGGGCCAAGGGGCCAGAGCCTGGCACTGATGCCTGGGCAGGAGATGTGAGAAGACCTTTGCTCATCAGCTTCTAGGTCGGCGACCAGATGGGGAGACTGAGGCACAGCAGAGAAAGGGATTTGATCCAAGGCACAGCTCTGCCACTTTCTAAGCCCCAGTTTCAGCACCCATAAAATGGGAATTCATTTATTGTTTAACATTTTTGCAAATCTCTGTAATGACTGGCTTAATAGAACACAGCTGGATTCTCATATGTGCTTTTGCATTCAGCTTGTTGCAACATGTTTTGGTTTAAGTGTGGGAAGAATATCTGGCTTCACACAGATATTTGGCTCAAAAAGGAAAGAGTATTTTAATAGCCTTCTCAGATAATTATGGATATCCTTCTTGGATACTAAACCAGATCTTCACAAGTGGTAGTTTCTCAATGGTTTGTTACAATATGGTATCTGAAACCACATCAATGAGCTCTTCCTACTCTGTTAAAACCCGCTGGTCTGCTTTGCACTTTGAATGGGTCTTTTATTCATTTTGTAACATGATGCATTGGTCATTGGAAAAAATACTGGTTTACTGAATTATGCATCTCTTCTAGATGATGTCACATTTCATAATACAATATCCAAAAAAGTCACATTCACTAATATACCACCAGTCTCTGGGAAAGTATTTAAGTAGGAAGCTGTCAAACCCACGGTGGCAGACACAAGTTCTCCAAAATTCTAATTTTTGCTTGCAAGTCAAATTTTATCATTGGCAACAAATACTGTCAGTTGACAGGCAACTTTGTTCATTTTTAAGAGAATATCTGCCAATGTCCCAGTCTGAAAGGCTATAGTTTGTTGGTTGGTTGTTCTTTCAAGTACAAATGGTGTTCCATGAAGAGTGGCTAGCGCAGCTTGCAACCCAGTCACACGGTGCTTGTCTCAAGCAACGACGGAGCCAGGAGAGAGGGTTCTTGTTGTACATACTTCCCATTTTGTCACACAGAATATTTAGAAGTGGCATGTTCAAAGGTTGAGATTTTTTTAATTAATACCTTTAAATTTTCTTTTTTTCTTTTTTTTGAGACAGGGTCTTGCTCTATCGCCAGGCTGGAGTGCAGTAGCATGATCTCGGCTCACTGCAAACTCTGCCTCGCGGATTCAAGCGATTCTCCTGCCTCAGCCTCCCAGGTAGCTGGGACTACAGGCGCCCGCCATCACACCCAGCTAATTTTTGTGTTTTTAGTAGAGACAAGGTTTCACCATGTTGACCAGGCTGGTCTCGAACTCCTGACTTCAAGTGATCCTCCCACCTCAGCTTCCCAAAGTGCTGGAATTACAGGTGTGAGCCACCACGCCCAGACCCTTTAAATTTTCATCAAGGGCATTCTTAAGTGAAACTGGCTTTTTTGCCAAGAGTATTTAAGATGAAGAAAGAGATGATTTCTCTCCCAGTGTGGTTCCACTGCTCTGGTCGATGCTACGAAACCAGCAGTTGTAGCCACCCATGACTTTTGCACCCTGAGTGCAAATGTCAACATGGTGAAAAAGGCCAATAATATCTTTGTATTGTCTGTAGCCGTGCTACCCTGAATGTGCCCAATTTTGTCTGCATCTCCAAAGCTACGTAGGGTCAGGCCTGGCAAGTACTTTGATGAAAGGACATCTTTGCGTTATGATGAAAACAGTTTTGACCTCCCAGAAACCCTGAAAGAGTCTTGGGGACCCGCAGAGGTCTGTGGATCACACTTTGACAATCACTGATTCTTCCAGGGCTGCCAGGGGTATTGGAGGTTGTGGATGAAATCTGATGAAAAGAAAGACCATAATAAATGGCCCTACATCATCGGGTACTGTACCACCACCTCTACCCCCATTATCTGGGCCTCTTCCCCATTTTGGGGGCAAATGTCTTCTATCCCCATACCTAGCCCCTCTCCCAATTCCAACTCTGGCTGAGGCTCCAGGTGAAAACCTTTCGGCTCCTTCAAAACCCCCTTCAAAAGTCAACTTCTTCCTGAAGACTTCCCAAACATAAGCCCTCAATGGGGATCACATCTCCCTCCTCTACGGCTCCAGTCCACTCTGCCATCTTCCTCATGGCCTCATCTCATTCTCAGCACCCTTCCTTGGCCATAAGAAGCCCTCAACAGACTCCTTTTGATCAAAAGGAATGAGGATAGAGAAAGCGTGACTCCTTCCATGGCTGGGGCTGATGAGCGAAATTGACTAACCCATGGTTAGCAGGCCAAAGGATTCTGGGAATTCCTGCAATCAATTTCAGAGCATGGGCATATTCCCAAGAACTGAGGACCAGGAACCAGCACCCCAGGGGGACTGGGACCAGAGGGACCTGGTGGAGAGAAAGGGTTACAAGTTCTCCAAGGGCTGACCTAGCCCAAACTGTGACACTGATGAAGCTTACATTTAGGATCCTTCTTGCTGTGTGACCTTGGGCAAATCACTTAACTTCTCTGGGCCTCCATTTCCTCATCTGTCAAGTGAAGTTTGGACCAATCCCTAGCACTCCTTACAGCTCCCCGTTCTCTGAGTCAATTATCTGCCTGTGCTAAAACATGATGTTGACACTCCAACCACCTAGGAGAAGGACAGTCAAGCTTTCTGGGCTGCTGACATTGGAACATAGCACGATGTTGACATTCAAATCTTCTATGACATCATCCGATGACATGCACACATGCCATAATGCTAACACGTGACAAGCCCATCATGCTGACATTCAAACATGCTGTTGCTGACATTGAATGCTCTCTGACGTCATTCACTCAGGCAGCATTAACTACAGCCAGCTATGCGCCGATCACGCCAACAGCCTAGGAAACCACTGAGTCCATAAAGAGTCCCTTCTCAGAACTTTCCTCTCTGAGAATCTAGACCCCATAGCAGCCTTGGGGAGTGGCTTAGTGGGGCTTGAGCTGCCCCGCCTCAGTCCATTCTCTTATGTGCGGAATGGATGTTGCCTCAACATAATGGAAGTGTGACTTTATGACTCTTCTTCCAGGCAGACTCAATCTCATAAAAATCCAGAGCTGTCAATTCGGTCTGGTGGCATGTGTCTGTAGTCCCAGCCACTTGGGAGGCTGAGGCAGGAGGACCGCTTTGGCCCCAGGAGTTCGAGGCTGCTGGGAGCTATGATCGCACCACTGCACTCCAACCTGGGTGACAGAGTGACACCCTGTCTCAAAACAAAAACTAAAACAAATCCAGAGCTGTCACTGCTTAGGCCCCACTCCCCAAGATTCCCTGCTCCCTCTCTGCTTTCCACCCAGGACCTTACTGGCTAGAATATGCGAGTGGAGGGCATCCAGGGAAAAATGTCCTGACCTCCTCCTCCTGCCCTGTACCCCCATCCCTACTGGCTGAGGCTGGGCAGGGGAGGTGGTGAGTATACAGATGCCCACTTCCCACACCCCAGGCTGCTGCCCAGGCAAAGCTTCCAAGACCCAGATTGGCCTTGCCTCTCCTGCCTTTAAAAAAAAAAAAAAAAGGAAAAGAAAAGAAATTCCTGCAACTTGAACAATCATTGTGTTGGATTTGGGAGATGTTATTCCTAGTGACAGACAAGGGCAATTATCTGCAATCCGCCAGCAGTTTTAGCCTAATTTCATTACTGCCGTGCAATTCTCCCTGAGCTGCTAGTCTATCAATGTCTTGCAGAATGGATTAGCGGGCACTTTCTTCATCTTCAAATGAATTTCAGTTGTCATGCCCTTGATGAATAGAGCAGGGGCAGGCGGCTGACCTGGGCCAGGGAGTGGCCAGGGGGCAGCAGGCCAGCGCCCTCAGGTCCTGGTGGGAGGTGAGGTGGTGGGCGGTGGTCCTGGGGGTGAGTGGAGGGAAAGTACCTGAGTGGTCCAGCCCTCCCAGACCCCTCCAGGCCCAGGATTTGAGGGCTGCTTGGACTTGTGTGCTGGGGTCTTGCACACTGAGAACCCCATCTAGGACTCCTTCCCAGATGTCAGGCTGAGAATACTGGAGGGGTTCTTTCCTTGATGGATGCTGCTGACTGGCATCCAGGCCCTCCCAACACCCCATTAAAACCCCAAACACCCAAACTCCAGCTTCCAGTCTGCTTCCCTGAGACACCGTGGACCTCACAGGAGCAGGGGCCAGAGCTGTCTTGTGGCCGCTGTGTCCCCAGAGTCTGGCTCGGAGGAGATGCTCAGACAGTGTTTGTTGCAGGACAAATGATTCTCAGTTCTGCAGCAGCTTGGGCCGGGGCCCGGTGCAGGCCTGGCACGTGGCAGGAGCCCAATCACTATTAGACAAATGGCTGGTGGTACGGGTGGCTTATTAGAAAGAAGGTGGAAAAGGGAGGGAGGGAGTGCTTTGTGAGCCCCCACTACACATCAAGCACCGTGCTGGGGACGCTGCTGATGCGGTGTCATTTCATCTCAGAGAGGTGAAGCCGCTACATCCAGGGCATAAGCAAATAAGTTGGAAATTGGCAAACCCAGGCGTGTCTGACATCCTTGCAACTCCCAAGGAGCTCTGTTTCAGGAGTGCTGGGCGTGAAGTGAGATTCTTCTCATGGGCAAGGTGAGGCCTCATGGGACTCAGGGTCTGCAACATGGGGTGAAGTCTCTGCCTGGTGAAGACCCCCTCTTGCCCACTGCCACCCAGAAGACTCCTCCCATAAAACGCTTCTCCAAATTTCTGGGAAGAAGGGCTGTGGTAGGCTTTTCCCTTTTACCATTGGTCTGTTCTCCTGTTCCCTGCCTGGCTCTTTACCCTGGGAAGCTGACCTCCATAGACAGCATCCAGGGGCAACTTGTCCTCTAAGTTTCAGGTGGAATCATCCAATGGGAGGCTGGGAGCGGGCAGAGGGAGAGTTTGGGGTGTCTCTGCCCAACTCAGCTGGCTTAAGTGCTGCATTCCTGGCAATAATCTGTCCCTTTGTGACGAAGGCTCCTGCTCACCTCGTGGCACCCCTCTCCATGGCTCCAGCTCCTTGTGGGATCTGGCAACTCCGTTTCTGCCCCATCAGACCTTGGAAATGAGAAGGGGGGACCTTGCTGTTTCCCGACCCTGATGGTCTCACCATCCCTGTTTGGTTTGCAACTCTGTTTACAGAACTCCCTTTACTAAACTCTCTTCGCTGGTACCATCCCAGTGGAATGCCATGTCCTGCTGGGATACTGACTGGGGCTTGGGGGAGACTATAGCAGCTCACTGTGACAGCAGCTTCTGTTGACCCTGCACCTGCTCTGCGCAGGCACCGGGCTGGGCCATGGGCTCACACCAACCCTTCGGAGACTCCCAGCAGCTCAACAGGACCGCACTATTTACAGAGAAGGATACTGAGGTTCAAAGAGGCAAGGAGACCCTTAAGGCAATGCTTGGGGAAGTGAGGACTTGGGGTTATTATTCCCCTGTCTCCCTGGCTTATCATCTTAACCCATATGATGCACACACTTGACTCTTTGCCCTGCCAGAAACCGTAGCCAGCAGACGTTGGTCTTCCTTAGACCAGACATTCTCTTTCACCCTCAGATGGCAGCCACCATGGATCCCTGAGGCGTCCTTGGTCTCCAGCTGTCTTCCACATCAGCAGCGGAAAGTCAAGCCCTAGAGAAGGGGGCTCCCTCCACAGCAGCCACCCGATCAGCCCCCGGTACCCCCAGAGTGCCTGCTCTCCTCCCAGAACTTCCTCCAGTAGAAGGAAGATCCCTGGATAGGGGTCAGTCCAGCCCCCCACTTTACATGTGGGGAAACAGGTTCAGAGAGGCAAAAAGGTCTTGCTTGAAGCCAAGAGGGAGTCACGCAGAGCTGGCCCCGACCCAGAGAGCCGAGTGGACAACCCCAGGGTTGCAAAATGAGCCTCCTCCCCCACTTTCCAGTTCGGTTTTTTTCTCTGGGCACCTGGGAGACTTTCCCAAGTTATCGATCGCCGGGGCGGCCTTCAGTCAATATGGTGCACTTTACTAATTAATCTTTTCCAGATAATTGCAGGAAATCATTGGTTGGTGTGAAGTGGGAGGTTGGAGAGGCAGCCTCTGTCCCCGACCTGACCAGAGCATCTTCTGGCAGATCCTACCCGCCTGTCCCTCACTCTTCTCTGTCTCCTTCTGGGGCTGATGAGCCACCCCCTCCAGAATCCTCAGCCAGGACTCCCGCCAGCTGTCCTGGCACTGCTCTGGATGTAGCAGGGAACACCGGGAGCAGGACGGTTCTGGTTCAAATCTCAACTTTGGCAATTATTCACTGTGTGACTGCAGACACATCATTTAACCTCCCTCAGCCTCAGCTAAAAAAAACAGACTAGAACTTATGATCTGCATCACAGGCTGCTTACGAGACAAAACAGACCAGGTGCCATGGCTTACTCCTATAATCCCAGCACTTTGGGAGGCCAAGTCAGGAGGATCACTTGAAGCCAGGAGTTCAAGACCAGCCTGGGCAACATAGTGAGACCCTGTCTCTACAAAACAATAAAAAATACAAAATTAGCCAGGTGTGGTAGTGTGTGCCCTGTAGTTCCAGTTACTTGGGAGGCTGAGGCAGGAGGATTGCTTGAGCCCAAAGTTGGGAGGCTGCAGTGAGCTATGATGGTACCACTGCACTCCATCTTGGGTGACAGAGTGAGACCCTATCTCTAAACAGCAAACAAAAAAGATGAAAACATGCTGGGTGCGGTGGCTCATGCCTGTAATCCCAGCACTTTGGGAGGCTGAGACAGGTGGATCACCTGAGGTCAGGAGTCCCAAACCAGCCTGGCCAACATGGTGAAACCCATTTCTACTAAAAATACAAAAATTAGCCAGATGTGGTGGCTCACACCTGTAATCCCAGCTACTCAGGAGGCTGAGGCAGGAGAATAACTGGAACCCGGGGAGCAGAGGTTGCAGTGAGTCAAGATCGTGCCACTGCACTCCAGCCTGGGCAACAGAGTGAGATTCCGTCTCACACATACACACACACACACACACACACACACACACACACACACAGACTGAAAACAAAAGAAGGCATTTTAATACTAATTTAAAATATGACCTCTACAGCTAATAACAGCAACTCCAGCAGCTAACGCTAAACGAGGGCTTTGCCACATTCCAGGTACTGTTCAGAGTGTCTGATAGGTACTATGATTAGTCCCCTTGTATAGAAAGGGAAACTGAGGTTCTGGCCTGAGGTCACACAGCGAGAGGCAGAGCCCCAATCTCTGCTCAGTGTGTAAGAAGCTGATCACCACCTCATGCTGTGTCACCAGGCCCAGGTGAGTGTCCTGCATAGAGCAATGTCCAAGGAGCCAGCTCTCCACTGTGCCCATCTTGGAAGCGGTAAGGAGGTGGGGGTGGGTGTCAGGGGTGGGACAGGGCTCAGGGGCAGCACCCAGGGCTTTCCTCTCTAAGTCCCCTTGTCCCAAAACTCAGGGCCTTCCTCAAAGAGCCCGAGGGAATTCTCCGGCTGGGTAAACTCAGGGTCCCCAGGAGCCTCTCCAGCCCCCACAGTCATTAATCATAACTGAACTCTCCTGGATGAAGTTTCCCATCCCTTTGGGGTTTCTGTCTCCCAGTATCACTTAATATATACCCTCATCGGGCCATATATACCTGCTCCTAATAAACCTCTATGACTTTAATGAACTAAATAGCAAATTACTTTTTTATTCAAGAATGAAATTTCATCATATTCATAATTCATATTTTATTTCAGACATCTGCTGCTGATTACATTACATTTAACTAAAATTAGATGATGCTCAGAATGCAATTAAGACTCTGCCAAATTCTTCGGCCCACCAATGCCGGCGGAGCGCAGCGGGGGCCGCGAGGAACCTAATATGTAATTAGGAGCTATTTTCTAGCTGTTTTTAAAGTCTGAAAATTAGCTGCCTTTATTAATCACACAGACAAATATAAAGTGGAACCAACGCTCGCTGAAATTTCTAAAAGGGATTTTTTGTTTAATTATACACCGCAGAGCGCTGAGACTCGTTCTGCATGTTGATTTGTTGTGCACTGACATTTTGACAACTGGTTCTCAATTTGTCTGTCGTAGTTAGGCAACAACAAAGCCGACGGTAATACTTTAACTTTCAAAACCTTCAGTGTGCCGGGGAGAGGGAGAATGGCATTCCTCACTGCGGGCCCGCAGCTTGGGCTCTCGAAGGCAGAGACACGGGGAGAAGGGCAGGTGAGGGGCGGAGGGGACTCCCGGGACGACGCCAGCTGGGGAGGTGGCTGACATTCTGGATCGGGAGTTACAGGGCCAAGGAACAAGCCCCTGTTCTGCGGGGTGGCTAAGTGGAAACCCTCCCTAATCTCTGGGCCTCAGTTTCCTCCTCTGCACCAAGAATGGGCTGGAGTCTGAGATCTTCAAGGAGCCTGTAGATGCCAAAACTCTGTCTTCTTTTCTCTGTGTGCTAATGTCTTCTGTGTAGCATCATTTGTCCCCTCGGCCTTAGCAGGGGGATGTGATTTTTTTTAGAGACTGTCTCACTCTGTAACCCAGGCTGGAGTGCAGTGGTGTGATCATAGCTCACTGCAGCCTCAAACACCCGGGCTCAAGCAAGCCTCCCTGCTGAGTAGCACCGGGGCTACAGGTTCGAACTCCCCCGCTCAAGCCAACCTCCCTGCTGAGTAGCTGGGTTACAGGTGAGAGCCACAGCACCCAGTCTCCAGAGGAATCCTTTATTATCCCAATGTGCAGAGGATGCAACTGAGACTCTGAGACTCAGCAACTTGTTAACCAACCAGCAGGTGGCCACACCAGAACTCAAACATGGAGTTCACTGACTCCACAATCTGTGGTTCTAACCACTGTATCCACCTCCCTGGCTCAGGAGCCCTGAGCAAGGGACAGCTCTCTGGGCCTCAGATTCCCTTCTGTGATGCTTGGATGTGGTAGAGTGGCACCCAGCCCTGCTGGGGGCCAGGGACAGAGTACACCAGCAGGATCACAGCATGAAGCAGGATTGAGCCCCACACAGGGACCCCCAGTCTCAGTGGAACTCCTGAGCTCACCCCATTCCCTTGGAGGTTCCTTAGGCCACCCTGTGGGTGAAACTACCCAGTGATGTCCAGAAAGTCCCAGGACAGAGAGTGACTGCCAAGGGGCCCAGATTCTACCCCATGCCCAGACAACAATAACAGATGGCTTTTTGTCCCATGTGCCTAGTACTCTGTTGACACTTTATTACCAGCGGGCACAATGGCTCACACCTGTAATCCTGGCACTTCAGGAGGCCAAGGTGGGAGGACCACTTGAGCCCAGAAGTCCGAGGCCAGCCTGAGCAACAGAGAGATCCCGCCTCTAGGAAAAATTAAAACTTAGCTGAGTGTGGTGGTGTACACCTGTAGTCCCAGCTGCTTGGGAGGCTGAGGTAGGAGAATCAATTGAGCCTGGGAGGTAGAGGCTGCAGTGAGCCGTGATCGCACCACTGAACTCCGGCCTGGGCAACAGAGTGAGACCCTGTCTCAAAAAAAAAAAAAAATAATATCACCTACACTCCTTCCACTAACCCTCCAAAGTGGATTCACAACCAGGCTTGGAGTCTCACAGCCTGGATTCAAACCCAACCCCTGCAATTTGCCTGCTGTGGTAACCTTGGTCGGGCTGCCTCAGTTTCCATATCAAGAAAATGAAGAGCTTGAGCACACCCACCTCTCTCGGTTCTGGGGAGGACTGAACAGGATAATTGGGTGTGTGGCCCAGATCAAGCCCTCAGCTGATGGAAGGTTCCTGTTACCACCCCATTTGACAGACAGGCACATTGAGGCTCTGCAGGGAGAAGTGCTTGCTCTGAGGTGCCTGCCGCCAGGTGGGTCTGATGCCACAGCCCATGCTCCTACCCCACCACCATAATGCCCCCCTAATTCCCACCAGGGAGGACTGGGGAAGGGCCTGAGGACCCACTGTGCAGTCTGGGCTGCCCCATCTGGCCATTGTGACCATCTCCAGGGGCTCTCAGGGTGTTTTTACCTTCCGTCTCTCACTTCCTTTTTGCTCCCTGGAGAGAGTGCCCAGCAGCTTTCTGCAGGAGCCAAGGCATGGCAGAGCCCACCACGGGGTCTTTTGCCCCTGCTGACTCCAGCCCAGTGGAGCCAGCACCATGACCTGCCCAGGCCTGTTTTTAGGAGCCAGCCCTGCCTCCTCCTCCTGCCCACAGACCCATCTGATGAAAACGCCAACGGAGAAAAGGAGGTTGTTTTGGGTGACAATGAAACTGCCAATAAAATCTCAAACGCAGAGATAGGCAATGACTATTTCACTTATTCTGACAGTTTGAGACTTTGCTGGGGAAGGGAAGTGACAGGCACCTGCCGACATCAACACCACTTCTTTCGGAGAACAGCCCGTGGGAGGGGGCTTCCCGGGAGACCTGCCTTGCCCAGATGCCAAGCGGGCTGTGGCTGCTGCTGTTGGCAGCAGGGGCTGCGGTCACCCACGGGGAGAGACTGGACACTCTGACTCTATCCACAACTCCCCTCTGGCACAGACATATGCCAGGCTCTGGCTGGAGACCACAGAGGCAGAAACAACCAGCAAAACCCCTGCCCTTAGGGTTTGTTTTGTTTTTTTAAGACAAGGTCTGGCTCTGTCATTCAGGCTGGAGTGCAGTGGTGCAATCTCGGCTCGCTGTAACCTCTACCTCCTGGGCTCAAGCCATCCTCCCACCTCAGCCTCTCGAATAGCTGGGACTACAAGCATTCATCACGACACCCAGCTAATTTTTGTATTTTATTGTAGAGATGGGGTTTCGACATGTTGCTCAGGCTGGTCTCGAACTCTTGAGCTCAAGCCATCCTGCCATCCTCCCATCTTGGCCTCCCAAGTAGCTGGAACTATAAGCGCTTACCACAGTGCCTGGCTAATTTTTGTATTTTTTGTATAGATGGGGTTTCACCCTATTGCCTAGGCTGGTCTCAAACTCATGAGCTCAAGCAATCCTCCCACCTCAGCCTCCCAAAGTGCTAGGATTACCCACATGAGCCACCATGCCCAGCCCCTTAGGGGTTATTGGGAGTGGAATCGTGTCCCCCACAAAGAGATTTTGAAGTCCTAACCCCGGATCCCCATGAATGTGACTTTATTTGAAAATGAGGTCTTTGCAGATGTAATCAAGTTAAGATGAGGTCATGAGGGTGGGCTGCTGTCCTTATAAGAGGGAATGCCATGTGAAGCCAGACACACAGGGAGAAGGCCATGTGTCAGCAACAGCCAAGGCTGGAGTGATGCAACCGCAAGCCCAGGACTGCCAGCCACCACCAGAAGCTAGGAAGAGGCAAGGGAGGGTTCTCAGAGGACCCAGTGTCTCAGAGGGTCCCTGGTCCTGTCGACACCTTCATTCTAGACTTCTGGCCTCCTGAACCATGACAGAGTAAATCTCTGTTGTTTTAAGCCACCACATTTATGGTACTTTGTTATGGGAGCCCTAATTAGAACACCGTTATAAAGGGCTTCCATGCCAACTAGGGCATCGGCAAAAGAGGCCCCACCTCCAGCTGGAGACTATCAAAAGAGGGGTATATGGCCGGGCACAGTGGCTCATGCCTGTTATCCCAGCACTTTGGGAGGCCGAGGGGTGGGGGATTGCTTGAGCCCAGAAGTTCGAGACCACCCTGGGCAACATAGCAAGAACCCCATCTCTACAAAAAAAAAAAAAAAAAAGTAAAAAATTAGCCAGGCATACTAGTACATGACTGTAGTTCCAGCTACTTGAGAGGTTGAGGTGGTAGGATGGCTTGAGCTCATGAGTTCAAGGCTGCAGTGAGCTGTGATTGTGCCACCACACAGCAGCCTGGGTGACAGAGTGAGAACCAGTCTCAAAAGAAGGGAGCAGGGTATACCCGCTCCTTGAACAGAGTGACAAGGTGGACTCCAAAACTGAAAGGCTGCTCCAGGCACCTACAAAATCTTCCTATCTGTCACCTCCTCTCCATCTGTCCCTAATGCCACTGCCCCTCTCCAGCCATTGTACCTCTCACCTGACTCCTTTCCCCCTGCCCCTCCATTTATCATGCCGCAGCCAGAGAACTTTATAAAGCATCATTATGACCCCACCATCCCTGCCTAACACCCACCCTGGCTCCCCAGAGCCCTCAGGATAAAACTTGCTTTATGTTGGCCTCATACTTACTGTAGGTTCCAACTGAACACAGAACAGCGTTTGGATTCTCTGCGCACACCACGGTATTGCTCACTTCAGTGCCTTTGCTGCCTCAAATGCCCTCTCTTACCTTCTAGCCCAGCCAAAATTCCACCAAGGTACCTCTTCCTCCAGGAAGCCTTCCTTGATCCCATGCCAGGCTAGGAAGAAGAGGCACCCCTCTTCTTCCCTGTTCCCATGGTAACTCAGAATCCACTGCTCTTCACTGTCATCATCAGTTTGCTTAGCTTGCTCTGCCCTGTAAGCCCTGGAGGGCAGGGAAGGGTTCATCTGAGCTCAGGCAGTACCTCCACCGGATACCTCCGCCCCAGCCACACTTGGCCCTTGGCCAAGAAGCTGGCCCTTGAAACAAATGCTGGCTCAACCATCAAGACCCAGGCCAGACCACCTGCTACTTGTGACACTCTGTGAGTGTGACACTCTGCGAGTCCAGGGCTGGAGAAGAGGAACTGACTTTGGGATCAAAGGCTCTGCGCTTGAGCCCCATCTACCTGCTGGCTGGCCTTAGGCATGCTGCTTCCTGTCTCTGAGCTTCATTATCTTTGTCTGTGAAATGGGAACAGCAAGACCTACAAATATGGGGCTGAATTGTAGTCATTATTAATGATTATTATCATCATCATAATGATCAGTTCATTGTAATTGTAATGATTATTTTGTGGGCTTCTGTTTCCAAATCCATGTATCTTTCAAGGTTGCCTTCCCTGCCCAACTGCTCAGACTTGTGAGTCACGCATGCACCCTGGGAGAGTACTCAACATTCCTATATGTCATTGAATTCTTGTAACTCTTTACATATTTATTTGATATTCTTGTAACTGGATGACATCTCCCTTACCAGCAGGGACTGTGTCATATTTCAGGGGCTCTTGAGAAACTCAGCACCTGCTGCTTGATAGATGTGTGCCCTCCCTGCCCACCCACGCCCTATATCGATCTGAAACACCCCAGGGCCAGGGCCTTGAGTTGAGGAAGAAACCACAGGGTAGAGGTTATAAACTGGATGAGAGCTCAAGCAGACCCTTGTTTCCAGCCAGCTCTGCCCCTAGCAGGCTGTGAGACTGAGGTTCAGCCACTTCACCTTTCTGAGTCTCAAATTTCCCTTCTGCAAAGTGGGGCATAGAATACCTACTTCTCAGGACATCGGGAGACAGCGCACACCAAAGTGTCTGGCACATGGCAGATGTTAGATGAATGAGCAGATATTGAACCTCAGAGTCCTGGGGTTGATCCCAGCTTCACCCCTTCCTGGCTGGGTGATGTCAGGCACACCCCACCACAACTCTGACTGTCAGGTTTCTCTTCTGGGGAATGGAGAGCTCTTGTGAGAATGAAATGAGGTCATGGGTGTTAAGCCTGGCACCAGTGTGTGCAGTAAGTAATGGCTACTATTTCATTGCATTGAATTGTAGAAATGTTCAGACCTGCATGTCAGGGCCAGTGCCCCCACACCCAAGATCTGTGAAACGGAGTGAGGGAGAAGATGCAGACGGGACCTGGCAGCATGAGGCCCTTCCCCAAAATAAGGACATTTCCTAGGCCTGGGGCCTTCCAGCCCATCACCTCAAAGTACTCACTAGTCCCCTGAATGCTGAGAGGAAAGGTCTATAAAGGCCCTTCCTTCCCTTTGAGTAAAGCAAGGATAAGAAGAGAAGCATCCACACCTGCTTTGGACCAGCACCTGACCTCCACCTATTCCAAGACCCAGCAAACCCCTTTGGAGGGCTGGGCAGGTGGCCTAGGGAAGCCAGATGTACTGAGCTGAGCAGGATGGCCATGTTGCAGGCAAGGGGGCCTTTGTCTGTCTACTTCTCTGTTCATTCATTCATTCCTTTATGCATCCATTCATCCAGAAAGACTCAAGCTCTTAGCATGAGCCAGGCACTGTGCTAGACTCAGGGGGACCGGTGAGTGGGCTCCTATGTGTGCCCTCAGGAAGGCGCAGTTTCCTGAGGAGACAGGCGATGCAACAAGTCAACAACAGATGGCACATTTGGACATAAAGCAAAGGGAGAGATGGAGGGCAAGAGGGGAGAACTGCATTAGGAGGAGGGTGGGTCAGGGAAGGCTTTTGGAGGAGGTGAGTGGTAAACTGAGGCCACATGCCAGCCAGGTGAAGTGTGAGGGTGCGGAGGAGGTGTGTGTGTGTGTGGCGGGGGTGGGGGGGTCGGGGGGATGTTCCAGGCAGAGGGAACAGCAGAGGCAAAGGGCCTGGGGTGGCACTTGTTTCCATCTCCATCATCATCACTGTCATCAATGCTCCCATCTAGCCAGGGCTCCCTGTGTGAGCACCGGGAGGGACTCCATGTTCATTTTTCTCTCCTGCACCTGAGTGTGGGCTTCTGGAAGGCAGGCTGGATCAGCATGGCCCACCACTACCTCCTCTGTGACTCAGCACAGCACCCAGTGCAGAATCGTCACCCCGTCCCATGCGCTGAGTGAACATGCACAGTGAATACGCAGGCCCTGTGTTCAGTGCCCTGCCCCTGCCTCCTCGCTTTATCCCCACAACCACCTGATGAGCCGGTTCCTCGTCTCCATTTTTCACATAAAGAAACTGAGGCTGAGAGGCAATGTTGCTCACCCAAGGTCACACAGCCAGCAAGTGGCAGAGCTGAGATTCGAACCCAGTTCTATCTGGGCTCTTCTGCTCCATTGCCCAGGCCCTCAGGCCCCTGGATCAGGAAGTGGTGGGGTTGGGATGGAGGGGGAGCACAGAGCAGGGCCCCCAGCCCCCTGCTTCCAAAGGAAGCAGGTCCGAGAGGGAAGGTATGGCCAGCCAGCTCCATAAATAACCCGGGTCCCAGGGCCCTGCCAGCAGTTTGGCAGCCGGAGAGAGAGTGTGTGTGTAATACAAACAGCACTAATCCCCTGTCAGTTAAACTGGATATCAGAGGAGACAAGCTTCCGAGCGGGGCGGCCTAATTGAATCGAATTGAAAAGGCGGAATGGGCGGCCGGGCAGCCAAGGAGGGCTGCCGGGGAGCAGAGCGGGCGGCTCGGCGCAGCTGTCTGGGCCTCTCCGCTGCCCTGGGCCGGGCGGCATTCCAGCCCCCACCACAGGGAGCCAGGCTTAGGGAGCAGGAATCACAAGAATGGGGGGGTGCACCCCCAGCGAGGGTGCTCCGCCCCCTCCGGCCTCCCCTTTATCTGCTGGCTCTGCCGTTTTCTCTCCATTGCTGACCCTTTTTCTGCTCCCTCTGTTATCTCAAATAATGTCACTGCCTCTTTAGAATCTAGTCATCAGAGCAGAAAGAAGTCCGTGCTGACACTGATAAAAAAAAATACCATCTGTGCCTCCCGGGGATGAGCTCACAACCCAGCCGCCGGTGCCCCTGCCGCCCCGCCACCCGCAGGCCTGCTGCTTCGTGGGGCACTGAGGGGTAATCAGATTCCAGGGGGGGCCCCACCCCTGGGGGTGACCCCCATGCCCCAGCTCACTCCCCAGAGCCAGAGGGGCCCGGCTTCTGAAGGTCTCAACCCTGGGGTGGTTTCCATTTTGCACCCGGGCTTGACATAATCATTTGTTATTGTTTAAAATTTGGTTTTATTACTGAACGGTATTTAAAAATCAAATTTTATCCACAACTCCAGATTTCTGAATTCTTTTTAAAAATTAAATAGAAAGGTTTGGATGGTGGGTTCACCACCCTGCAGGGCAACAGCTGGCTGGAGCTGGGGCCAGGGGCCTGCCGCGTCCTCCCCAAGCCTGGCTTGTGGCTGCCTGCCTGGTCCCTGGAGGCTTGTGAGTTTGAGACCCCTGAGCAGGGAGAGGTTATCAGAGTGATGCTGAGATGCAGGCGGGGAACAAGACCAGGCCACGGCCCCCGGGGGCTTCTCATGGGTCTGGGAATAACATCTCAGATATGAAAAGGAGACCGAGATCCAGAAAGGGGAAGCCACTCACCTAAGTCACACAGCATTTAGAAATGCTGGCTCCCTGCACAGTGCTCTCCTCAACCACACAAGGCAGGTGGGGAGGTGGGGAGTCCCGATCCTGGCCTCGCCACACACCTTCACCCTACTCCTCATCAAAGCCGTGACTCTTGCATCCACGTGCCCTCAGCCCTCCGTGGAGCCAACTCTGGTCAAAACTGACTACTGGCATCAGCAGAGGTACTAGCATCTCCCAGGGCCAGTGAGGACACGTTAGCAGCTCTCTTGCTCTTTTTCCTGACCTTGGGATGCCCCATCTTGACCCAGCACCCTCAGCCATTCAGAGCCTGGGTTTGAGTCCCAGCTCTGCCACAACCATACTGCGTGACCCATCTCTGTGCCTCAGTTTCCTCATCTGCAGAGTGTAGGTCCTTGTAGCTCTATCGGGGAATGATCTTGATGGACCAACGTCCATCAAGTGGTGGATGTGTCTCTTTGAGGCAGATGGTAGGAGATGGTAACGTGGGGCGAGTGAGAGCCGCTCTGATGCCTGCCAAGGACAAGGCCAGCTGTGTGCACAAAACATCCCTTGCCCAGTGAAGTCAAAGGGGAAATGGAGCAGATGTGGCTGTCTTGACAACAGAAGGCAGGTGCTCGGTTCGAGGGGAGTCTCTTCCTCCAAGGTTGTGTCCTCCAACTTCCAGACCTGTGATCATCACTGGCTCACATTGTGGTCTCAGGCAGCCCAGCCAGATCCAACTAGTTGCTTAAGTCCCTCAGGGCTGAAAGGGGTGGCTCTTCCCTCTAATCTCCCTCTGGGGACAGGACATGTCAGCAAAACCTAGCCTTGCCTAGTGATGAAAGGGGAGGAGGCCCCAGGCTTTAGAGTCAGTCCTACTGGATTCAAATCCTGGCTTGGCCACTTCTGAGCTGTCGCGTCGCCTCTCTGAGCCTCAGTTTCCCCCTCTCTGATAATAACAATAGTTCCTATCCCCCGGGTGCTGAGTCTAAGTACTAGGTGCCAGGCTACGTTTTATTTATTTATTTATTTATTTATTTAAGATGAAGTCTCGCTCTTTCGCCCAGGCTGGAGTGCAATGGCGCGATCTCAGCTCACTGCAGCCTTGACCTCCGGGCTCAAGCAGTCCTCCCACTTCAGCTTTCCAGGTAGCTGGGACTACAGGCATGTGCCACCATGTCCGGCTAATTTTTTTGTATTTTTGGTAGAGACGGGGTTTTGCCATGTTGTCCAGGCTGGTCTCCAACTCCTGGGCTCAAGGGATCTGCACGCCTCGACCTCCCAAAGTGCTAGGATTACAGCATGAGCCACTGCGCCCAGCCTGAGCTATGTTTTAGATGTGCATTATTTCCTAGTATTTCTACTTTACTGATGAGGCACCTGAGGCTCAGAGAAATAATGTGACCTGCCTAAGGCCCCAGAGCTGGAAGTAGTCAGGCCACAGATCAAAGGCCAGATCTGTCTGAGCCCAGAGTCCACAAAATACTGATTGCTAGGAGGATTAAATGAGAGCATCGGAGCTTCTGGCAGAGTAAACAGACACCATTATTTCAATGGATGGGGACAATGAGGCCCAGAGAGGGCAAGAGACCTGCCGGAAGTCACCCAGCAAGCCACCTTGTCCTCTTTCATTTGGTTTTCTCCTTGCCTTCCCCTCTCCACATCCTGCTCACCTCCCTTCTCCCACAAATGCTCACCTCCACATCTGGGGCCAAGACAGCCAGGGTGACACAGGAGAGCACTGTGCTTGGAATCTAGAGACCTGTCTCAGGGCCGAGCTTCTGCACCTGATGACTGCATGACTTGGAGCAGAGACTTCCTCTCTGGGCCTCAGTTTCCTGCTATGTAAAATGGGGTTCACCACACTTTCCTCCTGGGCTCGCCATGAGTATGGGCGGAGGAAGTGACACGAAAGCCTCCGGAACCACGGCCAGCATGCCGAAGCGGGGCAGGAGCAGCTCTGGTCAGTCACCTCACTTCCCTGGGGCCTGGCCCAGTTCCTGGCATATAGAACGTGTGCATTTAACATTTGCTGAATGGATAGTGCTCATGAAGAAGGGGCTGGATCCTGCCTGCAGTGGCTGTGGAGTCTGGCAGCTTCTTTCTTTGGGCAGGGAGGATGCCCATGTGCCTAGGACAGCTTCGGTGCCCCTTCAACATCCAAGGGGGCCACCGTGGCCTCAGCCAGTGCATTACCCAAATGCCTCAAAATGGATATTTTCCTGATCAGATTTAAAATATGTATAACAGCTTGGGTGCAGTGGCTCACGCCTGTAATCCCAACACTTTGGGAGGCCGAGGTGGGAGGATCGCTTGAGCCCAGGACAACATGCCAGCCTGGGCAACATAGAGACCCTGTCTCTACAAAAAAATAAAACACATAGCCAGGCATGGTGGCATGAGCCTGTGGTTCTAGCTACTCAGGAAGCTGAGATGGGAGAATTGCTTGAGCCCAGGAGTTCAAGGCTACAATGAGCTGTGATCACGCCACTGCACTCCAGTCTGGGTGACAGAGGGAGACCCTTTCTCTAAAAAAAAAAAAAAAAAAAGAGAGAGAGATTAAAAAACAAACGAAAAACCACGTATAACAGACCCTGTTAATCTGAGTGAGGGAGCATGGAGGTTTGGGCTCAGATGCCTGTAAAAGAGGCTCAGTTGGCATTCCGTCTCTTACCCTCTCTGTGCAAGTAAGTGGCTCCCTGCTCTGTGAGCCTGAGTGTGGTGAGAATCAATGCGCTCAGGCCTCCCCCATGCCCTCCCTAGGTCTGGAGGGAGGCAGGGGCTGGTCTGGGAGGAGAAGGAGCCCCCTCCCTCTCCCTCGGGCTGTGGCCCCCTCATTGCTTCCCTGGTTTTTGGGAGGAAACAGAAACCCCAAGAGAGTCCGGCAGCTATGTCATGGACCTGTCACTTGGCCACTTTTCTGCAGCCTCGTTTGTCACATTACAAGGTTTATGGTGGAAAAAAAATAAGACAGAAGACTCTGGTTTGACTTAATAGCTTGAGCCAGTGTACCTGGGACCCGGGGCCCCTTGCCCTCACGCTGCACCAGGCAGAATGGCGTCTCACCCCCCACTGGCCAGTACAGAGCCCTTTCACCCTGAGCGACAAAGAAGGGCCCTGGTCAGACCCTGCGGTGCAGGAGGTCTCGTCCAGCTAGACTGACAGGGTTCAAACCTGAGCACACTCCCTCGGGTGAGCCACTGAGCCTGTCTGAGAGCATCTGTCTGCTTCTCTGCAAAATGGGGAAATAATTCAGGCCCACAACCCAAGACACTCTGAAACCCAGGGCCTTGGCATCAAAATTCATTTGTCAGCAAATGCAGCAGGCTGGGCATGGTGGCTCATGCCTGTAATCCCAGCACCTTGGGAGGCTGAGGTGGGAGGATTGCTTGAGCCCAGGAACTGGAAACCAGCCTGGGCAACATAGCAAAACCCCATCTCTACAAAAAGTAGAAAAAGAAGCAGGGGGTGGTGGCGCATGCCTGTAGTCTCAGCTATTCAGGAGGCTGAGGTGGGAGAATTGCTTGAGCTTGGGAGGTCGAGGCTGCAGTGAGCTGTGATCTTGCCACTGCAGTACAGCCTGGGCAACAGAGCAAGACCCTGTCTCAAAAAAAAAAAAAAAAAAAAAAGGCCAGTGCCACATAGGCTCACATATTATTTATGGCCTTCACTCGACTTAGTGGGACTCTTCGTACCTTTCATATAGAGTCAGGGGTTGGTGGTGCTGCCCCAGATGCCACGTGGAATGAAACATGGGCCGGGAGGGGGTCTCCCTAAAACCTGCAAAATCCTCCATTCCACATCACATCTGGCCCCAGGATTTTGGACAAAGAATTGTGGTTCTGTTGTACCTGGTCTGCAGGGTTGCTGTGGGAAGTAAGTGGAATGATGCCTGAGGGGTTTAGCACCCTGCCTGGGATGTTACATTTGAGGAAACTGAGGCCGAGTTGGGGGTACAGAGGAGTCCCGGCTGGAAGTCACGCAGCCAGCAGGTGCAGAAGCTGGGCCTGAAGACGGATCTCTGGATTGCAAGTGCTTTTCCTGTGACAACCCTGCCGCATGGAGAAAACCAAATGGCAAGGAAGAGGACAAGGTGGCTCACTGTGTGACCTTAGGCAATCTCTTGCCCTCTCTGAGTCTTGGTCTCCGCATTCACAGCAAACGAGGTGATGGACTGTGTGATCTCCAAGGGTCCTCCTGACCCTGACACTTTTGGATTCAAGCAACTGAAGCATTCATTGGGAGACCATTGCCCTTGTCTGTTTCAGTTTTGAGGACATGAGGTGTGAGGTGTGAGGTTCGGCCCAGTGCCAGGTTTTCCTTGGATATGGGGAGGTGGGGGCTCCGGGCACAGTGCTGTGAGACCACACATCATGTTCTTTGGCAGGTTGCTCCCTTTGCCTGTTTGTTGTGTAGGTTGGGGGTCTGAGGTGTTCACAGCCAGGGCCAAGCGGGCAGCAGGGGTGAGCTGGGCCAGCACCGCTGGGGCAGATGTGACAACTCAGTTCTGTCAATTAGGTATGGTGGGGAGAGGGAGCTCGGAGAGGTCACCAGTCACCTCCCCGGGGAGAGTCTAGACACGGGCTAAGAGCAGGGCCCTGAAGTTACACAGAACTGCGTGCAAATCCCACTCTGCCACGTGACCCTGGGCAAGTCACTTCCCTACTCTGGGCCTCAGTTTACTCACCAACAGAATGGGGATAAGCACGGTAATTAGCTCAATGGACTGAAATGATTCACAGGGATAAAGCACACAAAGCACTTAGCACCATGCTGAGCACATCGTAGGTGCTCAGTAAAGGGTTCAAGACCTCCCAAAGCCATGTGGAGGGGCTGGATTCTGAATGACCAGTGTAGAAGACACAGCATTCTGCAGGATGATCCGCTGGGTCTCTTAAGCAAGTCATATCATGGAGAAAAATAGGTATGAGTGTGTGTGTGTGTGTGTGTGTGTGTAGGGCTGCTGTGCTAGATTAAAAGAGAAGCCAGGGCTGTAACAGCCAGGTATGTGGTATTAGACAGGGTGCCGGACACCTGGCCCAACTGGAGGAAATGTGACTATAGCCTGGGCATTAGAGATGAAACATATTGACAGAGAAAGGTGACTGGAAACCAAAAAGGTAGGTAACAAAACAGCATGTACAGTATGATCTCACTTTATCGAACAGCATGAACACACACACACACACACACACACACAGAGGGAAAGGTGGCAGCTGTTCACAGGGGTAATCTCTGTATGGTAAAAACACAGTGCTTTGATGTGATTTTTGCTAATCTGTATTTTCTTTCTACAGTGTATTTACACTGTTTCTGTAATAGTAAAAATATTATAATTTGAGAACTAAAGAGCTCAGACTAGGAACCAGAGCTCCTGGCCTCAAATCCAGCTCTCTGCCCCTTCCTAGAAGACAGTAGGTGCTAAGAGACAGCCAAAGAACTTGTCCAAAATTAGCTGGAAACCAGGAAGGGCTGGGGAAGGAAGCACCTGCGAGGTGCGGGCCCCTGAGCCAGGTGTCTTCCAAAGGGCGCTAGCTGAGGAAACAAGGAGGAAAACAGCCGTGGAGGAGAAAGGAGCTGGCTGGGCCAAGCACAAGCGAAGGGCAGGGCCGGCCCCCCACCACGCTTGCTGACCTGGAGCCAGCCAGCCAACGCGACTGGCTGCCAGCAGGCCACAGAAACCTTGGTGAGGAAAGACTCCTCACCAGGCCAAGTGTGGTGGCTCATGCCTGTAATCCCAGCACTTTGGGAGGCCGAGGTGGGCAGATCATTTGAGGTCAGGAGTTCGAGACCAGCCTGGCCAACGTGGCGGAAACCCTGTCTCTACTAAAAATACAAAAATTACCCAGGCGTGGTGGCACACACCTGTAATCCCAGCTACTTGGGAGGCTGAGGCGGGAGAATCACTTGAACCTGGGAAGCAGAGGTTGCAGAGAGCCAAGATGGCGCCACTGCACTCCAGCCTGGGCAACAGAGTGAGACTGTCTAAAAATAAATAAAAGGACTCCTCACTGACAGAGACGACATCAGTGCAACCATAGCAGCTACTCTGTCTGGAAAGAACCACAGTATTTCCTGCCTGCCTCCCAAAGTGAGACCCTTGCCAGAACCAGGGAAATTCTCTGAGAACTTCAGGCTGCAGACCCTGGGAGCGGCTCCAGCTTATGACCTGAAAGGCACTGCTGTTCCCCTCGCAAAGAAGGTGTCAGTGCTATGTGACCGCCTCTTTGCAGAGGAAGCAGGGAGGTGGGAAAGCCGGTGGGCCTTAGGTGTGTTTCTCCAACAGCGACCCAAGGGGTCTCAACCTAGGGGCTTTGGACCATCTGGGCAGGGCGCCTTGAGCCAGCTCTGTGCACCATTCTGAAGTTTTGGGGCTCTGGAAGACACCCTTATCTCTCAGCATAAGACAGTTATAATAATGAGTATTTATTGAGCACTTACCGTGTGCCACGCACTGTGTCAAGGGCCTTCTGTATATTTTCTCATTGATCCCCACGAAACCTCCATAAGGTGGGTATTAGTGAATCCCACTTTCCCGATGAGGAAGCTGTGGCCTCCAGAGGTAAGCTGTCTTGCCCAAGGTCACATGGCCAGGGGGTGGGCAGGGCTGAAGTGCTCAACCACCACAATGGCGTGCAGAGATGACCCTGGGGTCATCCAGTTCGGTATCTTCAGCCCTGGCTGCATTTTCTTATTTTTTAAAAATATTTTTGAGACGGGGTCTCACTCTGTCATCCAGGCTGGAGTGCAGTGGCACCATCATAGCTCACTGCAGCCTCCAACTCCTGGGCTCAGGCGATCCTCCTGCCTCAGCGTCCTGAGTAGCTGGGACTACAGGTGTGCAGCACCATGTGGTGCTTGGTCACACGTTAGAATCACCTGGGAGCTTTTAAAAGATGTCTTTTTAAAAAGATACCGCTGAGACAGATTAACTCAGAATATCTGGGGTGGAGTCAGGAATTCGTGGGTCCTTAGGTGGTTCCGAGGTGCAGCTCTGAGAGCGAGAACCACTGCAATAGGCAATGAGAAGGGGTGACAGCCGCAAGTGCCAACTGTCTACAAGGTAGCCAGGAGTGTGACACCAGGCCCATATGGTGGCCGCAGGGGTGGCTGGGTTGAAAGGTTGCTCTGGCCAAAGCGCACCGGCAGCTGCTTCACTGGAGCAAGAGTGTTGAGCTGGCCCCTGCCCCAGGAGTGACATCCTGTCCCCAGGGAATGAGAGAGAGAGGGCCTCAAGGAGCAGACGGGCTCTGGGGGTCTCAGCCTCTGTCCCCTGCACCCATCTCACAGCTGCCGCGGACATCTATGGAAGCCTGGGGAGGCTCCCAGGCCCACCTCCTAAAGGCTGGAGGCTGGCTGTCAGCCAGCGCCATCACTGAGGGCACAGCAGCCTCTGGCCTGGTTGTTCATTAAAATCGCGTGGGGAGGAAAACATGCAGGTCCGAGCCCCACCCCGGTCAAATACATCCGAATCCAGAAAAACGAGCCTGAGCACAGAAAGCTAAAAAATCGCAGTGAGCCTGCACACAGAGCCGCACCCAGCAGACACACGTAGGGGCTAAGAGCAGGCTCTGGAGTCCATTTGAATCCGGCCTCAGATGCTGATGAGCTGTGTGGACTTGCACCAGTTACTCGATCTCTCTGACCTTTGGTTTCCTGGTCTGTAAAGCGGGGATGAGACTAGCAATGACACTGAGGTCGGGGCAGAGATGAGAAGGGGCGATGCGTAAACACGCCTAGTCCACAGTGAGCGTTCAGTATTAATTAGTATTACTGCTTTATGCGTTGTGTTTTGAAGGGAAGGGGCAGGGAACAGCCATCAGTGATCTGGGGCCATTTCTACAAGTTAAGCTGGGGTAGGCGTCCTCCCTTCACTCTCACGTTCCCAGCAGTGATCCCAGGCCGGGCCCAAGGCTGGCGTGGGGGTGGAGCTCGGCTCCTGCTCCTCTCACCCTGCAGGAAGACAACAGCAGGGAAGGCCGCCAGCTGCCCCCTAGTGGCCAAGGGCAGACGCGCACTGAATCGCTTTCACCTCATCCTGAAATCCCTGCGCCGGCCCCCACCTTTCCACTCGGCCTCTTTGCAGGTCCGTGGGTCCCAGAGGTTCTGGCTGGCAAGGCACCAACTACAAGGGTTTCCTGATGGCTAATGGCATTTCGGAAAGCACCAAGCTGACTGCAATATAAAGTTCAAATAGGGCCGGTGGGGGGCGGGGGTGGGGAGTGCCAGGCACCCGGGCCAGAACATTTGAGTCTGTTTTCTCCATCCAGCCAGTTCATTTCAGAAAGGAAGGCGCGCCCCAGGAGCGATGGCAGGTTCTGCTTTCCTGTCTTACACAGGTCTGTGCTCTCGTGGGTGCTTGTGATTCTGGAGCTAGGAAGCTCAACTTCTCCCTCCGCAGCAGCAGCCTAGAGTTGTGCTGATGGACTGAGAGCCGTGTCCCAGTCCCTCTCCAGCAAGGGCCATCTGGGAAAAGCCACCTCATCCCCAAGACGCACAACAAAGTGACCCCAAACCCTATTTCCCTCCATTGCTGAAGAGCTCCATGGAGGAAACAGCTGGAGAGGGGACAGGGACAGAGGGAGGTGCTGGTGGCCTGGAGTCTCTACTGTTGACACAAAATCTTTTTATTCCCCATTTGCCATCTTTTCCACAAACCTCTCAGGTACAGATCGGAAGAAAGTGCATATAAACCCTGCCTTATTTAACCAGGCCCACCGCCTCCGGGACAGCCCCTGGGGGAGCCCCATCCCGCTAGGTAGAAGGGAAGGCCACACCAAGTGCTGAGTGAGCCACCCAGACAGCAGGTGCTCTGGGAGGGAGGGGCGACAAGGGGTAGGGGAAGGCTTCCTGGAGGAGGGAGAGGCCTGGCCCTGAGAGACAGGGGGCGGTCCCTGAAAAGGGAGAGAGAAGGCACACTTCTCCGGGAACCAGGCCCCAGCACCTGAGCATTGGACCCAGGCGGCCAGGAAGAACACAGGCCAAGGCGGGGGCCTGAAGCAGATGGGACTGTGGGAGCTTCAGGGAAGCAGCCCTTCTCGCCTCAGGTCTGGAGTCTCAGAGGACCCTCCTAGGCCTCCTGCTCGGCTGGCTCCAGAGGATGCAGAGGGCAGACCATGCCTCCCTAGGTCCCACCGCTGGGACTGCAGAGCTTGGCTGGCATCGCCAAGCGGCTGGGGCCTCTCCAGCAGTGTCAGGAGCTGGGCGCTCGCTGGCCAGCACAGAGTCGAACTGCAGCCCCCAGAATAATCCAGAAAGGGGCATCTGGGTGGGGCTGCAGTGTCGTGGGCTCCTCTCAGAGGCCATCCAGGGCTTGCTGGACTCGGCTGTCCAGGGAGGTGGCTGAGTGGATGGAGACGCCGGGGGCACCGATGCTGGTTTCCAAGCAGTCAAAGCCACAGCTGGTCAGGGCCTGCTTCGTGGCCTCCACTTCTGGCTGCTCCAGCCCTGCGGGGAGGGAAGGCAGGTCACCCTTGACAACTCTCCGCTCCGTGGGAGAAGCTCATCATATTCAAGGCAAAAGCCCAGGCCTTCCTGCTGTGCCTTCCTGGCTGTGACCCACCTGAGCCAACAGGCCATAAAGCCCAAGGTTACCTGCAGCCCCTCCGTGCACTGGAATGCCCAGCCTTGCACCCCCAGGGGTTTAGGGAGCAAGAGTTAAAAACATGGGCTCTCAAGTCACAGGACTTGGCCTTGCCTTGTACTGGCCGTGTGGCCTCAGACAAGTGACTTCCCCTCTCTCAGTCTCAGTCTCCTCATCTGGGAATGGGGCTAATGATGACTCCCCGTGCAGATCTCAGGGAGGCTTAAAGGAAATAACGCAGGTAAAGTGCCTGGCACAACACCTGGCACAGCGGGCACACTCCAGAAATGTCAAGTCCCACCATCGTCATGGGCTCTGAACTAGGAACCAACAGTTGGGGTTGGCTGGAGTGAGGATGTGGCCACCTCCTGAGGCCTGGGAGCCATCATGGAGTGTGAGGGGATGTCTGGAGCCTAAGGGGGCTCAGTGCAAAGCAGAGGGGAAAGGAAGGATGAAGAACAGAGAGGAGGAGATAAAGACAGAAAGAGAAAGAAGGAAGGAAGGAGGGGACAAGGAGCACAGAGGGAAATGGAGGCAGGTGGGACCGGTTAGTGCCTACTGTAGGCCAGGAGCGAGCCTGAGGGCAGAGGTAGGTGTCAGGTGGTTAAACACTAGCAGAAGCCCCTTGCCAGGCCCCCAGGCACCAGGGAGCTTCCTAAGCCAAGCCCATTACTCGGTCTTCCTCTTTCCCCAAACCAACGGGAAGGAAACCCTTTCGTTTTGTAGCAAAATCAACCGCATCCTGACCACATCAAGGGTACAAGTGGGGCAAGGTTAGGCAGACGTGGAGAGTGACAATGCCCTGGTTACTTCCCAAGCTTGTGCGGACAGCCCCGATGACAGGAGCCCCAGCCACAGCCCAGCCCTGCACCAGGCTCTCTAGGTGCACTTTCCTGCTTGAATCTGGGCAACGATCTTGCAAGCTAGATACTCTCATCCTTATTTTACCAATGAGGAAGCAAAGACCAGAGGTTAACTAACTTGCCCAAGGCCACACAGCGGAGCTGAGACCTGTTTCCAGGTCTCTTTTTCCTTTCAAGGGAATTCTCCAGGTGGACCCCTCTTAGGAGCCCAGGCTGGCAGCCTGGCCCACCTACCCCCGGGATACCTGGCTTGAGGAGTGTGATGCCACAGCCACCACCGCCTGCGCCAGTCAGCTTGCTGTGAAGTCCGCGGGCCCTGGTCACCTGGCAGAGCTGGTCCAGAGAGGCGTGGCCCACGCCGAGGGCATTCAGATGGTGCTGGTTCATGTCAATGAGCTCCTAGGGGAGAAGGTTCCATCTGTTCCCACTTGGCCTGCCTGAGGCCAAGGTCCTATGCCCACCCCTGAGCCTGCCTCGTCCATCTGACAGTTGTTGGCTGGAGACAGCCAACGGCTTTGCCTACCTGGCACCCTGGCCCTCTCCACTTGTAAAAGAATCCTTCTGCCCTGCAGCATTTCTCACGGAGCTTGGGTAGAGCTGAGCATACCTTCACCACAGCAGTGAGCACATATCCTAGGGCTGGTCACAGAAGCCTCTGGCACTGGTGACTGATCAGGGATGGGCATGTGGTCCAAGCTGGGCCAATCACAGCCCTCCCAGGGTTTCCTCTGCCCCTTCCCACTAGAGCTGCTAAAATAATTAACTTCAGACACAAGTCGCCAAGATGACCTATCTTGCCACATGATCAGATATTACGTGGCAGATGGACAGATTCCCGACACATTGTTTCAGCCCCTGGATTGAGCTATACCTGAAGCCATTTACCTCTGGTCTTCTCAGTTGAGAGCCAATACATTCCCTTTCTACAAAAGTCTGGTTGAAATGGATTTCTGCCATTTGCAAGAGAAAAAGTTTCAAATAACATGCCTCCCTACAGCTGCCTTGGGGACTGGTTTCAGAATAAGAACTAGGTGTAACTCCAGCAAGGCCATAAGCAGGGAAACAGCTGTTTGTCTAGGTTTCTTCAGTTATGCAGGATAAACTTCCTGCTCTTTAAGGATCCAACAAGATGCATGTGGATGAAAAAATAAAACTTCACAGCTTCCACTGCCCAGGCACCCAGTAGTTAGATTTCATTTACCAAACACCCACAACGTGCTGGGGCTCTAAGGATGGGTGCCCAGCCACGGTCCCAGCCATCAGGAAGTAAAAACCATGGGATTTGGAGTCAAGTAGGCCTGTGTTCGAGTCTCTGCTCTGCCCCTTTTTGGTCGTGTGTCCTTGAGCAAGGTCTTCTGCACTGGGTCTGTCTCCTGCTTGTAAACCGGGGTCATAAGAGTATCTGCCTCAGCAGGGTGTGGTGGCTCACGTCTTTAATCCCAGCACTTTGGGAGGTCGAGGCGGGTGGATCACTTGAGGTCAGGAGTTTGAGACCAGCCTGGCCAACATGGCGAAACCCCATCTCTACTAAATATACAAAAATCAGCCACGTATGTTGGCGTGTGCCTGTAATCCCAGCTACTCAGGAGGCTGCGGCACGAGGATCATTTGAACCTGGGAGGATGCAATGAGCCAAGATTGTGCCACTGCACTCCAGCCTGGGCGACAGAGCAAGATGACTCTGTCTCAAAAAAAAAAAAAAAAAAAAAATCTGCTTCTTTGCCCTGAGACGAAACAAGGTGAGTTTTCTGTTCAATGCCTGGCACGAGATATGTGCTGTTAGTATTTTTATGGGTACGTTAGCATCATCCCCACTTTACAAAAGGGGAAACAGAGGCTCAGAGAAGAAGTGACTTGCCCACGATCACTGAGCTAGTAGGTACCAAGCTGGCACTGGAAGGCGGGTCTGCCTGACATGAAGCTCCTGTCTACCCTGCCTCTGAGAGCACCCCCTGGCATTCCTCACTTCCGTGTGAAGCTCTGTTCCGGGGCACCTGGATTGCCTGTATACCAGGAGTTGCCAATCACTGAGGCATCTCTGCGGAGGCCCACCTAGCTCTCCCGCATGGGGATGGCCGGTCAGGCAGGGTTGGAGTGGCCCTCCCCAACAGCCTGCCTCATACCTCGCTCTGCGCCAAGCTCACCATTTTTGACAAATGAGCAGACAGGCATGATGGCCTGGTGGCAGCCCCGGGTGCCTCTCACCAGCCTGATGGGCTGGATGTGAGAGAAGACTTCTGGGGGCCGCTCTCTGCGCCTGAGCACCAGGTGTCACGTTGCCGAGGCAGGTTCCAGACACCTGTCACATTCTGATCCAAAATCTGTCAAGGATCAGATGACAGGTTGTGACACAGGAGAACAGTTCGCTGGTTTGAGTGCAAAGCTGTCCAGGAGCTGAGCTGCACATTTCAGCGGCTGCCACAGCCAAAAATACACACAATGTATAATCAACGTGCTGTTCTGTGGCATTCTCCAGGGACTCGACAGGGTGTATTTTAGGCAGTATTCTATCATTATTGATTTCCTACTCGGGGGGACTGTGTTCCCTCCTTTCTATGTGGAAGGAATTGAGAGCTAGGAAGACAAAGACTGAGGGAATGAGGGCCGAAACACAGGAATTCGATGGAGGCGCTGCCCTGGCACATAGTAGGTGCTCATGACAGATCTGTTGAATAAAGGGACAGACCAGTCCGTCGGCTGGACCCCTGGCTCGGCCACTCACTAGCTGGATAACCTTGGGGGAAGTCTCTCTTCAGGCCTCAGTTTTTACATCTGTAAAATAGGGATAAGACACCTACTTCACAGGGAGGTGGGTGTGAGGATCAAGTGAAAAGAATCATTTGTAAAAGGCTTGCTTTAGTGGCAGCTTCCACTCAGCACAGGGGCTACAGACTCGAATGCCCACGGGGGACCGGGAGACACCAGGCAATGACTACAGAGTGCGGGGCGCGGGGAGGGACTGTGGTGACATGGAGACCGCACGCCCCTCTCCTGTCCCTTCACTGACGGCTGCTGCACAGCCACGGCAGCTAGGGGCCACCCGATCCTCTCATTCTGCAAGGGCAGCCAGATGGCTAACAGCCCATATTCACCAGGCCAGGTGGACTGTGTCCAGGGGGAGCCTGGGCTCTTTGGTTCCCTAAGCTCATAGCACACCAGACATTGTGCTTGCGTGTCACCCATGAGACTCCAAGCATTTTTTGTGTGTGTGTGAGACAAGGTCTCATTCTGTCGCCCAGGCTACAAACTTGACCTCCTGGGCTCAAGTGATCCTCCTGCCTCAGCCTCTCGAGTAGCTGGGACTACCGATATGTACCGTCATGTCTGGCTAACTTTTGTATTTTTTGTAGAGACAGAGTTTCACCACATTGCCCAGCCTGGTCTCGAACTCCTGGACTCAAGCAATCCACCTGCCTTGGCCTCCCAAAGTGCTAATACTACAGGTGAGCCACTGCGCCCGTCTAATCTGAGCATTCTTAAGACACTCTAGCGAGGCCACACGTCCAGCAGAAGTGGAGCTGGGATTCACACACAGGCCTGATCACACCCAAAGTACCAGGTCACAACCTCTACACTAGAATTATGCAAATGGCAGTGGATGGGGTTGCAATGATGAAAAAACAATGTTAGGATCTGTCTGACCCAAAGCAGGCAGTTGACAAGTAGTTGTTGAATGCACCCATGAAGTTAGCAATAGCAGGAGAGTGACCAAGAAGTCACCCCTGCACCGACAGAGCACTCTGCATCAGCCACATCCCCATCTACCTACGTGGGCCAGAGCTCCTTAGAAGTGACCCAAACCTGTTTCCATTGCACTTAGCACGAGCCAGGCCCTGGCCTCCCTTGCACTCTCCCAATTACTCGGAATCACCCAGGAAGAGGCCTGAAAATAAGATACGCTTATATGGCACGCACAGACCTGGGCCCAGCTGAGAGCATAGGCCAGAGGCAGGTCCTGACCTCTATGTGCTAGCTTCCGGGGGATTCTGAGCACAGCCAGATTGCAGAGCCACTGCCTTGGACAGTGGTGTGGACTCAGTAACCCCGGTTCCTGCAGACAGGCTCTTACTTCCAGCACGAGGTACTGCTCCGGGGCTGGGGCTTCCCCCATCTCTCCCAGCACGCGCTCACACTCCAGGGAGATGGCATCTATTGAGGTCAGGAGGGGGGCCACGATCTCTGGGAACTGGAGAAAAAAAGAAGGAACGGCTGGTGAGGCCTGGGGGCAGGCAGATGCAGGACAGCTGCCCCAGCAGTGGGGTGGAGGGAGGAGGTGTTCACACAGCCCGTGCCCATCCTCTGGGGAAACCACCTCTCTTCTGAGCCTGTTTTTTTGCCTTCCCAGCTGCAAAGTCAGTGTGTCTAACGAGCCCGACCACTGTCATTTTCCTGGCCAGGCTACGGGCACGGACGGTACCTTCTTTTCTGCCAAAACCACCTCCCTAAGGGCCCCCACCACCCACCACACCCCCTATAACCCATCAGCCAGAGGGAGACCTCGAAAATCCAGATGTAATTGTGTCCTGGCCTTCCTGAAACCTGCCCAAGAAGGGAACAAGAGTCACCTTGAGCAGCCTGTTTCTGACGCCAGCCACAAGGGCCCTGGTATTGCGAGGGACTTTGGTGTTGGTCAGCAGGATCTGGAGAGCTGGCGACCTGCAGGGTGAAGAGGAGGCAGGTCCACACTGAACTCAAGATGGAGGAGCTGGGACAGGACTGGGAGCAGTCCGGGAAGCCGCCCACCCTGATACGGAGGAAGAAGGGAGGCACAAGAGGTGACACTGGATTGGGGGAGCATGGGGCTTCTGCTGCTGGCCACAGCTGCGCCTCCATCCCAGGCACTGGTTGGGTGGCCATTCTCCCTTGGCTTTTCACTCATTTATTCATTCAACTTCAACTGGGACCTACAACATGCTAGGCACAGCGTGGCCTTGGGGCCGGGGCCAGAGAGGGGATAGGGGAGAAGGGCCGAGAAGGTTTTTCTGGCATGACGTGGACACTGAGAACTGAGGAAGGGTAAGAAGCCACCAAGCAAAGCTAGAAGGGTGAGGATTTCTGGCAGTTGGAGCAGCCTGTGTGAGCCTGGAGGTGGCGGAACCCGGCACAGTCATCCAGTGAGAAATTCAAAGTGGCTATAGCAGAGTACAAGGAGGGGGCGAAGGTTCACTTGTGTGGGTCACCCCCACGAAGCTGGAGTTTTAGAAAGACCAAGCAACAGGCCCTGAAATGGATCACACAGAGGGAAGATGCCCAGGCTAGCTGGTGCGGGCAGTGCCACGCACGGGCTCGTAAATGCAGGGAGGGCAGGGTTGCAGAGGAGGATGGTCCCCAGCACGCTGAGCCCATTCTTGCCCTACCTCAATGGTGCCCGGACGAGCAGCCCTGGTCTAAAACCAGATGTAGAGTCAGTCATCCCCTTGGCTGCCCTCTGGCACATAGACGTGTCCCAGGCAGCCACGTTGAGCTGACTCTCTAGCATGACCCCGTGGTCCTCACCTGCCCCAGAGGAGCTGCATAAATCCCTCCTAAAGCCACAATCCCAACTGTCCTTGTAGTGAGCCGTCTTCGAGGGCTCAAGCTGACATTTCTTGCCATCCAACCTGCCTTTCAGAGGGCTGCAGGCTGGGATGGAAGGTGGGGGATTTGGATGAGCTCTGGCCCGAGACAGCTGGAGACGGGCAGAGCCCTTGATACCTTTATTCGCTGTCTTCACAGTTCAAGATTGTAAAATCCAATAGGGCTGGAAAGGGCTGCCAGAAACCTGCTTTATCTCACTGCCCATAAGCCCATGAAATTAATATCGATTCTCAGCCTTGGAGGCTGGCTTTTTTTTTTTTTTAACTTTACAAAAGATGAACATTCTATTTGGCTTTTCTCTTCCCTTCTAAGACAAGCCATTCCTCAAAAGGGCAGCGTTCTGGGAGGCCGCATCTTGATCCACTTCACAAACAATGCATTTTTTCTTTACAGAGAGGCACCACGCATGGTTGGTGGGGGGAAGCTCCTTAAGCCATCCATGGGATTAACGTGGAGTCTGGCCCCCAGCTTCTCTGTGAAGCCGCCATCTGCTCCCGTGGCACCCCACAGCAGGCAGCAAAGGTTGGTTTGCTCCATGCTCCCATCTAGCCAGGCGGGAGGAGTTTGGGTGTTGCATCTTCATCTTTCTTAGACAAGTCCTCTGCAGACAGGCCTGTCACCAGCCCCACCAGATCCAGGGCTCATACCCATCCAGCGGCCACCACGCAGGGGGTAAGCCTGGTAAGCGCTCCTGTGATCCGGGCTTGGCCACTGCCCCAGCCTCTTCTTCTCTCCTCGCTCCCCAGGCTGCTCACTCCACTCAGCCACTCTGACCTCCCAGCTACTGTGTCACACGGCAGGCAGCGTGCTCGTCTCAGGACCTTTGCACCGCGCTTCCTCTGCCAGGGACCAGCCCCGCCCCATAGCGGCGTGACTTATTCAGGTTTCTGCTCAATGTTCCTTCACCAGCAGCCCCCGAACCCCCATCCAATCGGACCCCTCCTTCTCTTTGTAGCCTCTGACCCTGCCTTGTTTCCTAAAGGTGCTTAAGACTGCCTGATATGCTCTCACAGACAACTGATTTTTTCTCCTCTCCCAACAAAGTATGAGTTCCACGGAGGCGGGGCTTTGTTTTGTTCCCTGCGGAGGCCCCAGTACTCAGCACGCAGTAGGTGCTTAATGATACTTGTGGAAAGGATGAATGAACTCGGCCAGCAAACAGGTAAGCACTTCAGAGCCACCGCTTCTGATTGTATGTTCAAGATCCCCCTAAGTAAACAAGGAGCTGGAGGTCTGGGAGAAGTGACTCACCTGAGGGCACCAGCTGGCAAGTGGGAGAGCTGGACTCAAACCTAGGCCTGTGGACCCAGCGCCTCCGCCCAGCACACCAGCAACGCCTGGCCATTCCCCTGGCCGTTCCCCTGCCCGCCCCCCTTGGAAACCTCCTCATTCATCTCCTGATGCCCCCAGTAGACCGTACACTCGGTGCCCAGCCCACGTCTTCATCAGTTTTCTAGCTCCAGGGCCTAGTCCAGTGCTTAGGCCACAAGTGGCTCTCAGGAGACACTGAAGGAATGAAATGCCACCACTTCCATGAATGATTCCCCAGGCTCGCAGCCAGATCTAAGACGCCTGTCACTGTCACCCACAGCAGCTTCACAACCCTTCAGGTGTCTTCTCTCTGACGATTCCAGTGACCGCCTTCCCCATCAGACCGTGGGCTCCTGAAGACAGGCCGGGGCCCGGGCATTTGAGACTCCCCCACATGATCCAGCTCTGGTTCCACATGGATCCGGGGCGGTGGCAGACCAGCTTCACCTCGGCACCCGAGGCTCTCCTGACGACTGCTGGAGCAACCCGAGGAAGCTGTTCCACGCTCCTACTGGCTTCTGCGGAGTGCAAAGGTCGGCGGCAAGGGTGATTCTGCCTCCCAAGGGACACTAAGCAATGTCTGGAGATGTTTTTGATTGCCACGCTGAGGGTGCTACTGGCATCTAGTGGGTAGGGGCTGGGGATGGCTACAATGCACAGGGCAGCCCCACCACAAAGAATAACCCAGCCCCAAATCTCAATAGTGCCAATGCTGACAACTCTGACGTACAGCCTTGGAAAGGGAGGCATGACTGAGCTGGGACAGAAAGATCCCAGAGAACTAGCCGGGGGCCCAGGTGTGGCGCTGTGGCAGGCCAGGTTACTGAGCCACTAATGGAGTGGCCCAGCTGGTGGGGGCTGCAGGCCAGGACCTGCCACTCATCCATGAAGACCGCCCTGAGTAAAGAGGAGAGAGCCCCAGGACCCTTACTGATGCGAAAAGGCCCATGGAGGTGGCAAAGTGCCCTGGGACAAACACCACCCCACAACTTGATCAAGGGCTTAGGGAACAGTCAAAAAGGCACCTGGCTCCCCTCTGCCATGCGTTTCATTCCAGGCACCCAACAATTCTGCCGTGGGTGCAAACAGAACAGAGGATGCTGAAATCGCAAACAGAACAGAGAATGCTGAAATCGCACATGCACGTTTGTGATTCCAATGATTCCAGCGGGAGGGACACAGAAACATAAAACAGGCTGAGAGTCTCCAAATGTCACTTCTGCTCCAAGCCCCTCCCAAGCCTCCCTCCCGCTTCCATCCTGCCTCTGCCCTGTGTGCCTCCATCATGGTGACTCTCACATTGTCCTGTGGCGGCTTTTGTGTGTGTCTGGCCCCACCCCCACAAGCAGACTGAGAGTCCTTGGAAACTGTACCCAAGCTTCATCTCTCCATTCCTACGCCCCAGTGCAGCATCATCGGGAACACAGGAAGTAATGGATTCTTGTTTACTAAGCAAATACAGGAATGAATGAATGAGCAGCTGAGAGTCTACGGGCACAGCCATGCATGACTTTCCCTTTCTGATATCTCTGCAATTTAAGAGCTGAAGGGGAGAAGGAGAGAGCAGGTCTTCCCCACCACCCCTGCTTCCTTGCAGCTAGTGCACTGTGAGGGCCACATTGGGGGATGAAGAGCCAGGGACACCTGCCTCCTATGGTACTTCCCAAAGGTGCAGAGCTCTGCCCCCTGCACACATCAATGCAGCCATGGCTGAATGTGCTGCTCCACCCCCAGGTTACCTCTTTAAGGATGAAATCTTCCCTTGATGGTATCGGAGGGCTCCTCCTAAAGAGAAAAACCAGTGGGTCAGAGCTGTGGGAAAAGCTAACATATCTGTGCTACTTGGGAGAGAGGTTGAACTTTGGGTTGGGTTCATTTTGCCCCATTCAGGAAAGAGGCTAAGTAATGAGTCAGCCCAGCTTCAGTTACAAAAGGTGCAGGAGGGCAAAAGGTCCCCGAAGCCCCACCAGGAAGCTCTTGCCAGGCCTTGGATTCCTGGGTCCCCCTCCCTCCAGACTGTCCAGCTTCCCCCGACAAGCCACATGGTGAAGGTGGGGCCCAGGACACAGCATCTGGGCCCTGTAAGCAAGAGTTCTTGCCAGAGGGGAGGCCACCTGGATGGTGTGCAAACTCCACGGCAACGGCTCTGCATCCTGAACCTACAACTCTCTTGGGGAGCTCGTGGAAGCTGCAGCTTCCCAGGCCCCAGTTCCACCCCCGGAGATTCTGATTCAGGGGGTGTGAGACAGGGCCCCAAGATTTCTCCCCATTCCCCCCAAAATAGGAAAATGCTATTTTTTCCAGAATCCATTGATTCGATTCCTCCCAAACCAGCACAGACTCTTGGGCACCTACCATTGTAATAAGAATTTTTAAAATAACAACAATAAAATAAACCTGAGGCCACACCTACCCCAGGTGCTGACAGCATTGTCCACTCCGGAGGGGTTCCCGTGAATCATTCTCTCCCCTTGGAAGGCCCACTTGTTAATTAGCTCCAAATCCTCCTTGGTCCACCTGAAGACACAGATGTTCATCTTTACTGTGGCAGTGAGGAGTGGGGCTGGGGAGGGGTCACCTGGGGCTGTGCTGGGCAGGCCAAGGGGCATAGGAGCTTGGGCCCTTGAGCTCAGAAAGAACAAGTCCACTCTGAACCTCTCCAGCTACGGAGCGTGCCAAGTGTGCGCCCTTCCCTCTGAAGCCCACCTGGCGCAGTCAAAACAGCCTGGGCTTTGGACTCCCGTGGTCCTACTTTGCCTCTTTTTTTTTCTTTTTTTTTGAGACGGAGTCTCACTCTGTCACCCAGGCTGGAGTGCAGTGGTGCAATCTCAGCTCACTTTCTCCCGGGTTCAAGCAATTCTCCTGCCTCAGCCTCCCGAGCAGCTGGGACAACAGGTGCACACCAGCACGCCCAGCTAATTTTTGTATTTTTTAGTAGAGACGGGGTTTCACCATATTGGACAGGCTGGTCTCGAACGCCCGCTTTGGCCTCCCAAAGTGCTGGGATTACAGGCATGAGCCACCGCACCTGGCCCCTGCATTGCCTCTTACTAGCTGAGTGACTCTGGGCCTGTTATCTAACCTCTCTGAGCCTCATTATCCTTCCCTGGAGAATTGGAACCCCCACCCTCCTCAGAGGCTAGCTGCATGTGTGTCTAATGATGGCAAGGTGTCCACAAGCAGCAGGTGGCAACTGCCACTATAACAGACCTCTGCATAAGCGTCCACACCTGAACCAAGCCTGCCTTTAAGAAGAACGGGCAGAGGTGTGACTCTTTCCCAGGGCCCTGCAAGTAGATCCAAAGCACGATCATTATGAATTCAAATCCCAGGAGCCCCAGAGACCCCTGGAGGGGCCAGGCTCGTCCCAACCATGTCTGGATCTCTCCCAAGCACGTGGCCTCACTGCCTTCCATGGACCAGGTGTGGGCTCACAAACAGTTTAAATGAACAGACCCAAAACACATGAGTATGGAACAAGACAAAATGATCAACCCCACTTCCCCACTCTTTTCTCTCAGCTTTTGTTTCCTTTCTGCAGATTCCCTTCCTCATGAAACAGCAGAAGCTAAAGGTGGTTTTCTGACCTCTGAGAATGATGTGGCTCAGTGGCAGAGTTATGGAGTAAGCAGTCAGCCTAGTTTTGTTTTTTTGAGATGGAGTTTCGCTCTTGTCCCCCAGGCTGGAGTGCTGTGGCACGATCTCAGCTCACTGCAACCTCTGCCTCCTGGGTTCAAGCGATTCTCCTACCTCAGCCTCCCGAGTAGCTGGGATTACAGGCGCCTGCCACCACGCCTGGCTAATGTTTGTATTTTTAGTAGAGATGGGTTTTTGCTGTGTTGGCCAGGCTGATCTCGAACTCCTGACCTGAAGCGATCTGCCTACCTCAGCCTCCCAAAGTGCTGGGATTACAGGCGTGAGCCACCGTGCCCAGCCAGTGAGCCCTTTTTGGAGCCCATCCTATCACTGACTCACTGGGCATCTGTGAGCAACTGCTTCACCTTAAACCCTGTTTTCTCATCCATAAAACAGGGATAATAGTGTCTATCTCACTGAGGATATTGAGATGGAAAAAATACACAAGTGCTTTGTGTAATGCCCAGGAGATAGGATGTGCTCCCCTCAAAATAGGCCGTCTGGGGTCACAGCGCCTGGGGGCCTGGTTCAATCACTTACTTGCTGTGAGCCCTGAGCAAGTCAATTACCTGCTCTGAGTCTCTTTCTTCATCTGCCAAATAAGGATTTTTACGGACTTGGCAACTCACATGGTAGCTGTGAGACTATGATTAATAATGAGTTAACATCAGTTAACATACTATTGATTAGCATGTGCCAAACATTGTGCTAAATGCTTTCTCAAATGGACCATTGAGAAATGGTTCATAATCCTCCCAATTGTGCCCTACAGGGAAGGTATAATAATTATCCTGTTTCTTACAGAAACGGAAACTGAGGCTTGGATGGGTCAAACAGCATCCTGGAGATCACAGTGCTACTCACTGCTGGGTCAGGACCACATCTGCTGACTTGGAGCCCAAGCTCTTAGCTACTAACTTAATGGTGCCAACAAGATACACTCACTTATTCATTCAGCATTTATTGAGCAACTGCTATGTGCCTGTGACTAAGCTCCTAGTAGGGAGCAAAACAGACAAGGTCCCTGACTTCTTGGAGCTTAGAGTCTAATGGAGAAAGTGAAGGTCAGAAAGCGATCAGTATTCAAATACAAACAAATCCATGACACTGCAATATGTGACTTCAAAGCAGGTGTTTCTCAACAGGTGCTGGAGAGGATGTGGAGAAATAGGAACACTTTTACACTGTTGGTGGGACTGTAAACTAGTTCAACCATTGTGGAAGTCAGTGTGGCGATTCCTCAGGGATGTAGAACTAGAAATACCATTTGACCCAGCCATCCCATTACTGGGTATATACCCAAAGGACTATAAATCATGCTGCTATAAAGACACATGCACACGTGTGTTTATTGCAGCACTATTCACAATAGCAAAGACTTGGAACCCACCCAAATGTCCAACAATGATAGACTGGATTAAGAAAATGTGGCACATATACACCATGGAACACTATGCAGCCATAAAAAATGATGAGTTCATGTCCTTTGTAGGGACATGGATGAAATTGGAAATCATCATTCTCAGTAAACTATCGCAAGAACAAAAAACCAAACACCGCATATTCTCACTCATAGGTGGGAATTGAACAATGAGAACACATGGACACAGGAAGGGGAACATCACACTCTGGGGACTGTGGTGGGATGGGGGGAGAGGGGAGGGATAGCATTAGGAGATATACCTAATGCTAAATGATGAGCTAATGGGTGCAGCACACCAGCATGGCACATGTATACATATGTAACTAACCTGCACATTGTGCACATGTACCCTAAAACTTAAAGTATAATAATAATAAAAGAAAAAAAAAACAGACCAAGGATCCAGAGCTACCTAATTACATTTAATAAATGATAATATAGTTAAAAAAACAAAAACAAAAACAAACCAGGTGTTTCTGTAAGAGTACGATGGGCTGAATTGCTGGGGGCTGGGGCGGGGTGGTGGTGCCTGAAGGACAAGGGGAGCCAGCTGGGCAAGGTGTGTGTGTGGGGTGCATTCCAGACACACCACTTGTGCAGCACTGGAACCACACCAGAGCTGGCTGGCCCTTCCCAGGGACCAACAGGTGGCAGCGTGCCTGGGATGAAGTGAGTGATGGAGGCGGGGGAAGGTAACTCAGGCAGCTGACCTAGCCCAGGGCCTGGCCCTCTCAACAAATGTGAGTCTTCCTCCTGCTCTACACAGTTTGTTTTTTAGGGGGCTCAGATTTGAGTCTTCAAAGGAGACTGGGCTCCAGTCCTTTCCGACTCAGAAACACATGATGGGTGGGGTGTGGTGGGGTGGGGTGGGGTGGGAGGTCTACTCTCCCTAAGGGTTCTGAGAAGGAATGACTGGCCTTCAGGGGAAGGTGGGAGAAATGGTTAGAAGCAGCATAAGAACACACACACATGCAAGTGCACACACACAGTCACCCTCCACCTTTTGAAAGACAGGGCCAGTCCTTTGGCCCGTGGAAAATCACTTGAACCTGGAGGCAGAGGTTGCAGTGAGCCAAGATCACACCACTGCACTCCAGCCTGGGTGACAGAGCGAGACTCCATCTCAAAAAACAAACAAACAAACAAACAAACAAACAAACAAAAAAACCAAGCTCAGAAAACAAAACAAAACAAAACAAAAACAAGCCCAGGAAGAGGACAGAGCTCTGCATTTGGGGGCCTCATCCACAACTCCTGGTCCTGGGACAAACTGCGTAACCTCTGCGCACTGGGTGGTTTCTCAAGGAACATTCTCCTAATGATAGAAATGGTCTGTGGTCAAGCCTGTCTGGACAGGCCTCACTGACTCACGTGGTCAATAGGAACGCAGAGAGGTGACACGCCCTCCGTGGAGACGGCCCCGTAGGAGGAGAGATGCCCTAGTCTAATGGGCACACCCCCTAATGTGGATTTCTCAGCAAACTCTTAGTTTCTTTCATAACCATGTGGTAAAACTGGACAATCACCCCTAGGGCACTGTCATTACCATACAGAGGAGAACACTGTCCTAGCCTGAGTCAATGCAGAGGTGGGAGGGTTCATCTAACCTGCTGCCCTCTAGATCTGGACTCCAGCTCTTTCTACCATACCATGGGCGCTTGAAACCAACAGAGCCAAGATGGGGGTGAGCAGAGGTGGTGGAGAGCAGGAGAGAAAAGCTCAGACTCTGAGTTCAAATCCCACTCTGCCAGCACTAGCTGTGTGGCCCTGGGCCAGCCATTTGACCTCTCGGGGCTCAGCTTCCTCATGTTAAAATGGCCACTATGACACCTCTCACCTCACAGGGAGGTGGTGAGGTCTCAGTGAGAGAAGCCACGTCCCTGTCCTGCCGTGCGGGAGGGACACTGGCCAGGTAAGGACCATGGTTACCTGTTGACGCAATCCCCGTCCTTCAGCGGGTTTGGGATCTCCTCGCACACAGTCAGGAGGGCTGCTGCCAGACACACCGAGTAGGCGGCGCTGGAGCCCAAGCCCGCCCCGGGGGGCAGCTCCGACCACACTACGATATCCAGGCTCGGCAGGGCCCTGAAACACACCAGGGTGTGAAACGTGACTCTCCCGCAGGGCAGTGGGGTGCCA